>NC_000013.11:83451847-83604688 GCF_000001405.40 Homo sapiens | reverse complement strand
TCACATTCTTCCTCTGCTAATGTGCTTCCTCACCATAGAAGACCACGGAAGGGTAAACATTTATTGTGCATTAAATCTAAGAAATCCACGAAATAACTCTACATGTAAATTGAAGTTACCTACATGTCCATATTCTAGCTACAAGTGGATAGAGTATAAAGAATCATTTGCCCAATGGCTTGAAGCTCAGACACAGAACTGTAGCCCATCATCACTTTTGTATATACACCATTTGTGAGGACTCAGTCGCGTGGCAACACCTAAGACCAAAGGAGCTAGGGAAATGCAGTCTAACCGGCTAACTGTATGTAGAGGTATCACTCTGCTGTCACTCTGGAAGAAGGAAATAACTATCAGTCACTGCACTATCACTGAAGATATAAAATGTGAAATATAAATATACTTAAAATGTCATGTGTATCCATCTCTAATCGTTTTTTCTTTTCCTCCTCCCATATATATTAAACCACTCTTCTGATACTGGTGTATATTATTTTCATAATTTGTATAAATTTTACATTTACAAATTTTTAAGATTTTTATCTAAATGATTTAATATATATTTACAAAATTGAAATGTAAACCATATATACATATTTAAATATATTTACAAAATTTAAATATTTTTTATCTGTAATAATTTTTTTTTTCTTTTTGAGACGGAGTGTCATTCTTGTCTCCCTGGCTGGAGTGCAGTGGCGTGATTTTGGCTCACTGCAACCTCTGCCTCCTGGGTTCAAGAGATTCTCGTGCCTCAGCCTCCCAAGTAGCTGGGACTACAGGCGCCTGCCACCAGGCCTGGCTAATTTTTGTATTTTTAGTAGAGACGGGGTTTCACCATCTTGGCCAGGCTGGTGTCGAACTCCTGACCTCCAATGATCTGCCCACCTTGGCCTCCCAATGTGCTGATAAAATTTTATAGATACGTATTTTAAACTATAAAAATTAAAATATATAATGTATACAATTTAAATATGTACTTATATTTATTAGTTATACTTAATATATTTTTAAATTTAAATATATTTCTCTATGTTGTTATAGATAAAATTTAAACATTTATAAATTCAAAATTTATCAAAATTATGGAAATGATTATGCCAAAATGAGAAAAGTGGCTTACTATATACACGGTATGAGGAAGGGGAAATCAATTAGAGATGGATACACATAATGTTTTAAGTACACTTATGTTTCATATTTTATATCTTAAGTGATATGTTAGTTTCTGATTGGTTCTTTAACAAATGAAAGTTATTGGCTTATATAACAAACATTTATTCTCTTACACTTCTGGAGGTCGGCAGCCTAATCAATGTTATGGCAGTGCTGTGTTTCTTCTAGAGGCTTCAGGAGTGAGTCTGAATCCAGGTCTTTTCCAGTTTCTAAATGTTACTGACAATCCTTATTTTTGTTCCCTCTTCCATGTCCAGAGTGCATCATTCCAGCAATTCTTCTGAATTTGATGTCCCCTCCTTTTATGAGGACCTTTGCGATTACATTGAAACTGGAGTAATTATCACAGCCCAAAATCCTTAACCTAATTACTGCAGCAAACTCCCTTTTTACTATGTAAGTTAACCCATTCACAGGTTCTAGGAATTAGTGTGTGGATATCTTTGTGGGGGTACATTTTTCGTATATTTACAGACATATTATTCTTTGTTTTTTTAAACATGCCTTTTAATACAATGTAACTGTAAAGATGCCTTTAATACAGCATAACTGTAAAGATGTCTTTAATAAAAAATCAGAACAGTTGAGTATATAAATCAATGAGTGACTTGGCATAGTAAAATTAATCATGCTGATATCCAATTAGTTTCATCAACATATGTGAGGTGTAGCTAAATTTTTAAATAAATTTAATTAATTTGATAAAATTTAATGAGATAAAAGGAGTTTCATGAATTCCATAGGTGAAAAAAAGGAAAAAATCAATGAACACTCTGCATAGCCATATCATCATAATTAAAGTTAAAAGGTGTTATATGTTAGGCTGAATTGTGTTCTCTCAAGAAGACATTGAATTTCTAATCTCAGAATATGACCTTATTTGGAAATAATATCTTTACAGAGGTAATGAGGATACAATTATCATTAGGGTGGATTATAATCCAACATGATTTGCATCCTCTATAAAAATAGAAATATAGACCCAGGGACAGCTTTGCACAGAGGGAAGATAATATGAAGACATTCAGGGAAATTTTATGTAAAAATGAAGGATTTGGATGATGCATCTACAAGCCAAGAAACACCAAAGACTTCCTGATAACAATCAGAAGCCAGCAATATGAAGAGAAGAGTCTTGCTTCTGGTTTCAGAGAGGGTATGGCCCTATTTTGGGCCTTACACTTGATTTTGGACTTCCAGCAACCAGAACTGTGTAACAAGAAATATTCGTAACTCAAGGACAAAAAACTGACATTTATGGGACAAAGTGCTTTTCCAAATTGAAATGAAAGTAGAAGGGCATTCAAAAGTGGCAAATAAATAATTATCTAGTGAAGAAGTATAATTATCTCATAATTATATGATGTAATTTGGCCAATTTTGTTCACAGTAGGGGAAATGCAAAATAGATGCATTACTGTGTCATTTTTAACTTTTCAGATTGGCAAAAACTCAGCATGTGATAGCATATTTTGTTAGTGAGTGTATACGCATCAGATCACCACCAGGTTCATATGCCTGTTGCACAGTATAGACCAATACACCAAGATAGCAAAATTTATGGCAAATAAAGAGTTTAATGACTGCAGGATGGCCACACAAGGAGATGGGAGGAACCCTCCAATCTGCCTCATTGTGAAGTTCTGGGTTGGAGTTTTTAAGGGGATCATGGTGGGTGAGGGGATGGAAAATTGGAGTCATTGATTGATCAGGGTAAGGAAAATGAAATCATCACAATGTAGAAATGCATTATTTGGTGAGTCAGTTTCTTGTGGGGTCCTTCAGCCCAGCTGACATCAGCAGTTTCACTGGTATAGAGGACCTAAATAACATCTCAAATTGAAAACGCAAGTTTTACAATGCTTAAGTTGTTATCTATAGAGCAGTTAAGTGGAACTATAATCTTGTAACAGGGACTGCCTGATTCTAGGGGAACAGGCAGCAAACAACTATGAGGAAGCAGGTCAGAGAGTGAGCTGATTCAGTGATTAATGTGCTGTAAGCTTGGTTTATTTTCATTTCTCCCTCTTTCTTCTTTTCTGATTATAAAGTTTGTAGGGATGGTTTGATGAACAGGTATCTTCATTGATTATTAGAGGAAATTTAAAGAATATAAATCTGTGGATGTTACCTATGGCAACCTTTTTTCACTCACCCCACAAAATGGCACAAACGCTTTGATTAAACAATACCATGTCTAATAATTTATCTGACGAGTCTTCCTACACACCTACAAAGTGAGTCACTTGAAATTTTAATATTGTGATTTTGTTTAGGACAGCAAAATATTGGCAATTATTTTAATATTCAACAATAGAAGACAGGTTTGATGTGCTATTGTAAATCCACAGAATGATGTAACATGTGGCTACAAAACAAAATAAGAAATCTTCATACATGTTGAATGTACAATGTCCTTCATTCATATGTCAGTGAAGAAAACAAGACAAAATAATGTGTGTGGTTTGCTACTCTTTATACTAAAATAAGAAGACAGTAGTTTGTATATGTATACTTTGGATTTGGATATATTTTATGTCCATAAAACTTATCCAAAGATAAAAAGTAATTGTATTGTTGGCCTATAATGAGGAAAACTGGGTGCCTGAGGGACAAATGTATGAAAAATAAAATTGTAAATCTATATGTTTTGAATTTTGAATAACGGTGAATTTTGGATTTTGAATAATAGTGAATTATCTATTATAAATTTAGAAAAAAGTGAGATTTGATATCATGCAATGACGTGTTACTGAGCATGACCTTTTTTAGAGTTATTTGGTTTAATTTTGTTTGTGTAACAAATACTTAAATGGCACTTGCTCTGTGCCAGTTACTGTTCTAAGCCTTTTGGCCTCTTGTGGGTCTGGTGATTGGCAGTCTACCGGAATTACATAGTCTAGATGTGGGCATTTATCCAAAGTAATTGATGCTGAGAATTTGAAAACAAGAGATTTTACTATCAGAGGCTAGTAACTATGACGTGTAGTGCTTTACTTTAAAGCAATACAAAGTGATTAAAGCCCATTTTTATCACAAAGGTCTCACAATTTAATTTATTTCTGAAGTGAACTTTAGTAAAGCTTGCTCTATTCTGAATCTTTTATTTGGACTAACTAGTGACAATGTGGCCTTTATATACTTACAGTATATTATGAATGGTCAAATTTTGATGATATTGTGAGTTCTGAGAGCAATTAATATTCCTAGAATTATATGCAATCATTATTATATATAATAATATCTTATATATTATTATATATGATTATTGCAGATAATTCTTGACAAGTTTCTACATATTTTGTGAAGAAGGATGGGCAGCTTTTTTCAAGACTATTTTTTCAAGGAGATTTGTACAGTAAACAGCCTTGAAAGCTAGAGATAGTGTCTCTTTCTGGGGAGAATGGCAAATGTGTTTCTTAACTGGAATAATAAAGATAGCATCTCTTTCCAGAGCAAAGGTTGGACAAAATTGACGACTCCCTCATAAGACTAGAGATTCCTGGGCTGAGGGTTTCTTACTTGTGACAAAAGCCTGCTGTGTGTGCAGCATCCACCCGGGCCCTTCTCTGCATTTTCCACTGTGGGAATTGGAGGACAAGAGGAACAGAGGCAAACATGAAGTTCATACCACCTGTCATGCCATTGCCCCTACACTCAGGCAGGTGTTACCCTTGGAGGACAAGAGGAGCAGAGGCAAAGATGAAGTTCACACCACCTGCCATGCCATTGCCCTTACACTCAGGCAGGCCTTACCCTTGGAGGACAAGAGGAGCAGAGGCAAACAGGAAATTCACACTGTCTGCCATGCCATTGCCCTTAAATTCAGGTGGCACCAGTCTTCTGCCAGCATCTATGAAACTGTGGCAAACTCACATGTCAGGTTGTATTAAGGTAGAATCTCATATCTTCCAAAATTCTTGTTAGTTGTTTTCAATGAACAGCTATTTTTGTAAGAGTACTGGTGTCACCAGTCTTCTGCCAGCATCTGTAATTCTTGTTAGTTGTTTTCAAAGAACAACTATTTTTGGTGAGTACTTCTAGATTCAAAACCTGGTCTCCTATTATGACAAATGATTATACATTTTATATAATTTTGGACAGAAGTTCTAGGCCTATCTTAAAACTTGATGTGGACAGTCATAAAATGCTAAAGATATACACACATACACACCAATACCTAATATGTTAAAAAATTATATAAACAATACATTTAAATAGAAATAATCACCATGACTGACAAACCGTACATATACTTATCGTTCATACTTTCAAGAAACTAAATTCATTTAATTTGAAAAAAAGTACAAGTTTAAGCTAAAAGAAGCATATTTGCCTTCCAACCATTTATTTTTTAGAAAAATATGATGAAGGCTATTTTATTCACAGTTAAATTCTTAACTATAAATCATTTAATAAATGAAAATAAAAATAATTATGAGTTTTTATTATGATTTATAAATCAAAAATATGTATTATATAATTATATATGTGGAAAATCTGCAATTTGGGGGAAACTATTTTTAAATATTTGTAGATTTAAGAAAAAATGCATTTTTCACAATGGAATTTATCTCTGTATTATAGCGGTTACCGTATGTTTATATCCAAGATTTCCACTTTTATGAAACTAGCCTAAATAAAATTCAAAACAGAAAGTACTGTAAGTACAGTGTTATATAACAAAAATGTATCAGTAGTAGTACAAAACTATATGAAAGCTATATGCTTCACAATTAAAATATTATAAATCTACACATATCTAAACACTTGATTATATTAACTATTGTTAGTACTGGATTATGAGTGCTTTTGAAAAATTTTTCTGGGAAGCTCACCAAGATGGCGGACTAGAAGCAGCTACTACGCACTGCTGTCATGGAGAGAAAAAGAGTGGGGACGTAAATACAGCACTTTCACCTGAAACATTCAGGTGCATGCACTGGGATTCATCAAGAAAACAACTCAACCCATGGAGAATGGAGAAATGCAAGGTGGGATGACCACCCACTGGGGAGCAACAGAGCCAAGCGAGACTCCCTGACCCAGGGAAGTGGTAAGTGAGTGAGTGAGCTGGGGACCCATGCTTCTCTCACTGATCTTTGCAACCCTCAAGTCAGGAGATCCCCTCGTGAACCCACTCCATTAAGGCTTTTAGTCTGATAGCAGAGCTATGTGAAATCTCAGCAGAGCAGCACTCAGGCACACGTGGAGCCTTAGGAGCTTTAAATACCCATACCCAGGTTCCCTGGCAAAAGCAGCTGCAACTCCCTCAAAGCAGGATGTTAGACCCCCATACATATCCCTAGGAAAGGGGCTGAATCCTGTGGGCTGGGCAGCAATGGTTTACAGATCCTGCTTTTATGGCACCTCACAGGATAATACCCACTGGTTTGGAACTCCAACCAGTCGAAGGTAGTGGCATTATACCTCCCAAGCTTAGGAAAGATTTTTGGAACTTGAAGACTGGCTCTCTGAAATAAGACAGTCAGACAAAAGTATAGGAAAAAGAATAAAAAGGAATGAAAAAAAACCTCTGAGAAATATGGGATTATGTAAAGAGGCCAAATCTAAAAATCAAAGAGACTGGGAGAAAGCATAAACTTTCATGGATGATACTTCAAAATATCATCCATGAAAACTTCCCCAACCTTGCTAGAGAAACTAACAGTCAAATGCAGGAAATACAGAGAACCCCTGCAAGATTCTACACAAGGAAGTCATCCCTAAGACACATAATCATAAGGTTTTTTTCAAGGTTGAAATGAAAGAAAGAATGTTAAAGGCAGTTTGAGAGAAAGGGCAGGACACCTACAAAGGGAACCCTGTCAGCCTAACACTGGACCTCTCAGGAAAACTTTTATAAGCTAGAAAATATTGAGGGCCTATAGTCAACATTCTTAAAGAAAAAAAAAATCTTTAACAAGAATTTTTATATCTAGTCAAACTAAGCTTCCTTAGTGAAGGATAAATAAGATTATTTTCAGATAAGTAAATGCTGATGGAGTTTGTTACTACCAGACCCCCCGTTACTGGAGATCTTGAAAGGAGCAGGAAATATAAAAAGGAAAGACCATTCCTAGTCAATACAAAAACACACTTAAGTACACATACTAGTGAAACTATAAAGCAACTACACAAACAAGCCAGCACAGCAACCAACTAACAACAAAATAACAGAATCAAATCCACATATATCAATATTAACCTTGAATGTAAATGTGATGAATGGCTCATTTAAAAGGCACAGCTTGCCTAGCTGGATAAAAAAGCAAGACTCAATGGTAAGCTGTCTTCAAGTAATTCATCTCACATGGAGTAATACCCATAGGCTCAAAATAAATGAATAAAGAAAAATCTACCAAGCAAATGGAAATGAGAAAAAAAGCAGGGGTTGCAGTCCAAGTTTCAAGCAAAACAGACTTCAAACCAACAAAGGTGAAAAAAGACAAAGAAGGGCATTACAAAATGGTAAAGTGTGCAATTCAACAAGAAGCCCTAACTTTCCTAAATATATATGCACCCAATACAGAAGCAGCTAGATTCATAAACCAACTTCTTAGAGACCTACAAAGAGACTTACACTCCAGCACAATCATAGTGGAAGACTTCAACACTTTACTGACAGTATTAGATAGATCATCAAGGCAGAAAATTAACAGATATGCAGGACCTGAACTCAACATTGGAACAAATGGATCTAATAGACCTCCACAAAAGTCTCCACTCAAAAACAAGAGAATATGCATTCTTCTTATCACCCCATGGCACATACTTTAAAACTGGCCACACAATTGGACAGAAAACACTGCTCAGCAAATGCAAAAGAACTGAAATCATACCAAACACACTCTGGGAGCACAGTACGATAAAGATAGAAATCAAGACTTAATATCACTAAAACCAAGCAATTACATAGAAATTAAGCAAACAACTCCTGGACAACTTTTGCATAAATAATGAAAGTAAGCCAGAAATCAAGAAATTCTTTGAAATTAAGGAGAATAAAGATATGACATACCATAATCTCTAGGACATAGCTAAGGCAGTGTTAGGAGGAAAATTTGTAACACTAAACACCCACATCAAAAAGTTAGAAAGCTCTCAACTTAACCACCTAACATCACAGCTAAAAGAGATACAAGAGTAAACCAACTCCAAAGCTAGCAGAATACATGAAATAACCAAAATCAGGGCTGAACTGATGGACATTAAGACAAAAAAAGAAAACAAAAACAAAAACAAAAGCAAGAAAAATAATTCAAAAGGTCAATGAATCCAGGAGCTGGCTTTTTGTAAAAGTAAATAAGATAGGCTGCTAGCTAGACTAATAAAGAAGAAAAGAGAGAAGATCTAAATAAACACAATCAGAAATGACAAAGTGTATATTACCACTGATCCCACAAAAATACAAATAACTGGCTGGGCACAGTGGCTCGCGCCTGTAATCCCAGCACTTTGGGAGGCCGAGGCAGGCAGATCACGAGGTCAGGAGACTGAGACCATCATGACCAACATGGTGAAACCCTGTCTCTATTAAAATACAAAAAATTAGCTGGGCGTGGTGGCACATGCCTGTAATCCCAGCTACTTGGGAGGCTGAGGCAGGGGAATCGCTTGAACCCGGGAGGTGGAGGTTGCAGTGACCTGAGATCGCACCACTGCACTCCAGCCTGGCAACAGAGCAAGATTCCATCACACACACAAAAAGAAATACAAATAACCATCAGAGACTATGATGAACACCTCTATTTATAAAAACTAGAAAACCTAGAAGAGATGGATAAATTCCTGGACATATATATCCTACCAAGACTGAGCCAGGAAGAAATCGAATCCCTATACAGGCCAGTTATGAGCTCCAAAGTTGAATCAGTAATAAATAGCCTACCAACCAAAAAAGCCCAGGACCAGACAGATTCACATCACAGGTGAATTTTACCACATGTAGAGTGAACAGCTGGTACCATTCCTACTGAAACGATTCCAAAAAATTTAGGGGAGGGGACTCCTCCTCAACACATTCTATGAAGCCAGTATCATCCTGATACCAAAACTTGGCAGTAACATACACACAAAACAAAACTTCAGGCCACTATCTTTGGTGAACATTGATGTAAAAATTCTCAAGAAAATACTTGCAAACCAAATCCAGCAGCACCTCAAAAACCTAATCTATCACAATCAAGTAAGTTTTATTTCTATGATGCAGGATTGGTTCCACATATGCAAATTAATAAATGTGACTCAACACATAAATACAACTAAAGACAAAAATCACATGACTATCTTAACAGATGCAGGAAAGGCTTGTGATAAAATTTAACATCGCTTTATGTGAAAAACTCCCAAGGAAAATACTTCAAAATAATAAGAGCCTCCTCTGACAAACCCACAGCCAACATCTACTGAATGCACAAACCTGGAAACACTCCCCTTGAAACCGGCACAAGACTAGGATATCCTCATTTACCACTCCTATTCAGCATAGTATTGGAAGTCCTGGCCAGAGGAATCAGACCAGATAGAAAGATAAAGGGCATCCAAATAGAAAGAGAGGAAGTCAAGTTACTTCTTTTTGCAGATTACATGATTCAATATCTAGAAAACTCCATAACCTTGGCCCAAAATCTCCTTAAGCAAATAAAAGAACTTGAGCAAAATTTCAGCTTACAAAATCAATTTACAAAAATCACTGGCATTCATATACACCAACAACTGTCAAGCCAAGAGCCAACTCAGGAACAAAATCTTATTCACACTTGTCACAAAAAGAATAAAATACCTAGAAATAAAGCTAACTAGGGAGGTGAAAGATCTCTATAATGAAAATTACAAAACACTGCTCAAGGAAATTAGAGATGACACAAACAAAAGGAAAAACATTCCATGTTTATTGATTAATATAATTAAAATGGCCATACTGCCCAAAACAATTTACAGATTTTATACTATTCCTATCAAAATACAAATGACCTTCTTCATAGACCTATTTAAAAATTAATATGGAACCAACAAGGGCTCAAGTACTTAAGGGAATCTTAAGCTAGAAGAACAAGGCTGGAGGCATCACACTACTCAAACTATACCACAGGGATACAGTAATCAAAACAGTATGATACTAGTACAAAAACAGACACATGACCAGTGGAACAGAATAGAGAGCACAGAAAATAAGGCTGCACACTTATAGCCATCTGATCTTTGACAAAGCTGATAAAAACAAGCAATGGGGAAAGGATTCCCTATTCAATAAATGATGCTGTGATAACTAGCTAGCGATATGCAGAAGACTGGAAATGGACCCCTTCCTTGAACCATATACAAAAATTAACTCAAGATGGATTAAAGACTTAAATGTAAAACCAAAAATTATAAAAACCCTATAAGACAAGCTAAGCAATACCATTCTGGACATAGAGATGGGCAAAGATTTCATGACAAAGGTGTCAAAAGTAATTGCAACAAAAGCAAAAACTGGCAAATGGAATCTAATTAAACTATAGGGCCTCTGCACAGCAAACAAACAAAAAACCTAACAGACAGCCTACAGAATGGGAGAAAATATTTGCAAACTATGCATTGGAGGAGTGTAACATCTGGGTCTATATAAAACTTAAATTTACAAAGAAACCCAAAATCCCATTAAAAAGTGGGCGAAGCACATGAACACACACTTTCAAAAGAAGACATACATGGCTAACAACTATATGAAAAAAACCTCAATATCACTGATTGTTAGATAAATGCAAATAAAAATCCCAATGAGAAACTATCTCACAGGAGTCAAATGGCTCTTATTAAAAAGTCAAAAAATAACATGCTGGCAAGCTTGGAGATAAAAGGAAACACTTGTACACTATAGGTGGGAGTGTAAATTAGTTTAATTAGTGTGTGGAAAGCCATGTGGAGATTCCTCAAAGAGCTAAAAACAGAACTACTATTTGACCCAGCAATCCCATTGCTGATTATATACCCAAAGGTATATACATTGTTCTACCATAAAGACACATGCATATGTATGTTCATTGCAGCACTATTCACAATGGCAAAGACATAAAATTAAACTAAATGCCCATTAATAACAGACTGGATTAAAAAATGTAAGACATGTACACCAAGGACTACTACACGGTCATAAAAAAAAAAGCAACAAGCTCGTGTCCTTTGCAGAAACGTGGATGGGGCTGGTGGCTATCATTTTTAGCAAACTAACTCAGGAGCAGAAAACTAAATACCCCATGTTCTCACTTATAAGTATGAGTTAAATGATGAGAGCACATGGACACAAAGAGGGGAGCAACAGACACTAGTACCTACTTGAGGGTGGAGGGTGGGAGGAGGAAGAGGAGCAGAAAAAATAACTATTGGGTATAGGCTTAGTACTTGGGTGAAAAAATAATCTATACAACAAGCCTACTTGAAACAACTTTACCTATATAATAAACCTGCACATATACTCCTGAACCAAAACTGAATAGAATTTTTTTCAACTAAAAATATTCTAATTTCTACTGTTTTTATATTTCTTTTATTTATAAAAGCACAAGAAAAATGTTTCTTCTGTAATCTTAATATTTAATGTATACAATTACATATATTCTTTTTAAAACAACTATAGATAACCATTTTCTAATTTGTTTCCTTGTTATAGAAATAGGCAAAGAGAGGCCAGATTATACTATGAAGCTTCCTACTAGTATTCAAGAATAATGAACTTTAACAAGATAAAAGAACTTCAAAGCGTGGTGAAAAAAGATAATTTATCTGATGGAGATTATATGATTCTGTCTCTCTGTTGTTCAAATGTAATTTGAGTAACGCTCTGCTATATAAAAAAATAGGGATACCTTACAGTCCAAAGTATTTTTCACTCTCATCGAAATGGGTATTTAAAAAATCAGGTCTGCCTACATGCAGAGAATATAAACCAAAAAAAAAAAAAAGTCCCATGTCCCAAAGTTTATCTATTTTAATAAAAATACAATATATGTATATTTTTATTTTATATTACTGGAAGCAAAAACTTAATATATTGAGACTAGAAATTTTAGAATGTTCAACCTTTAAGAAGTAGTGAGAAAAGGCTGCCACTACAGTTTGAACAGTTTTTTTCTCTGTTCTGTAAGTAGCACATTCCAATTAGCCATAAACAATCTTTTGTTTTAGAAAATTATCAGCTTAGTTGACTCAGTATAAGCATTACTCACTCATTTTCTATGAATTTACCATTAACATAAATTTAAATGCTCATGTTGAGGAATGTAATTTGCTTAGCTAATGTGCTTATAATCTAAAGAGATATCTGTCCTTTGGTGATGATAGTGGCTTAAACTGGGGGAATAGTGTTCCCCAGACAATATCTGAGGGCAAAAACTGAAGTGAGACCCTCTAGACTTCTAGGCTTGTCTAGTGTTGCTTCAGCATCCAAGTGACAGTGTGGGATGACAGGGGAAGAGGCTATCTTGTTAACTGCTCTGAAACCAGAACATCTTTTATACTTGGGGAGTGCTATTTGTGTGAATCAGGTACCACCTTAAGCAAGAAAGGGAGAGATTACTTGAGAATCACCAGAGTCTGGAAGAAGAGTGACTTTTTTTTTGATGGCTTCAAGATGAGAAATGATTGGAGAAATAAAGGAGACAAAATATAGCAGAAAAAAATGGCAGACAATACTTGTTGAGTTGGGCATTTCTTTAGAGTTGGTGGTGAATGCTGGAGTCTCCACTGAGTAAAAATCAGGGTTTTATATAAGGCAAGGGGTTAAGATTTGGATAATCAACATTTATAGAAACTTTAACAGTCACTTTTTAATTTTTACATTTCTATGAACACCTTGAAACTTTCATAAAACTTGACAATAATATTATGGACCAAAATATACATCATTAATATTTAACAATCATGAGCAGTTTTCTATATCTTTTTCATTTTTTTTCCTACGGGGTCTCAACACAACTTTCTCCATATCTTTACATTTTACAGATACCAAGGTACAGTACCCAGAGATTTGAATTCAGTTGGTCTTATCTGAGACACAGTCAATAATGCATTTTTTTAAGTTCCACAGTTAATTCTGGTGTTTAACTAGAGTGTACAAGGAATATCAGGGAATTTTTATTTGTATGAACAGATTATTAGACATGAATTAAGAAGACCTAGGTTATAGTATGGAATAATATTTCTATTAAAAATTTATTATATTACACTTTCCAACAAGTCACTTTACATCTTTGTGACTGCAATTTCTTTAGATGTAAGAAAAAAATAGCTTGATTATATGGCCTTTGTGGTCCTTTTCACTTTTAAAATTTTGATATCTTAGTCTATCAAGTAAGATCAAAGAACAATTCTGTTTTTACCAGGGTTTAATGTTCAGGAACCACTGAAGAAAACAACATCATTTACAGCATAGCATATTTTGTTACAATCTCATTCAATGAAATTTTATGTGACTGTAAGAATAATTACAGAAAATAACAAATACGCTTTTAAAATTTTAGAAATACTTTCCTATGATTTCACTATATCAAACTGAACAACTATTTTGTTGTTTTTATAGTTAATTAAAACATATAAACTTCTAGTGGTTTCTTAAACTATTTTGATAACACACCTTTATTTTATATTTTCTTATCTCAAACACTAAGTCCTTAGTGTTTTATGGATATTAATTCAGTGAACTCTCTCAGACCCTCTATGAGGCATATACTCTTATCCACATTTTACAGATGAGTAATCTGAGTGTCAGGGAAATTCATTAATTTGCTCAAGATTATAATTCTGGTAACATGACCTCTAGACTAAGACAGTATTAAAATTTTGGCAAAAATATATTAACTATTAATATTTTGAATTATCTGTTACCAGTGATTTAGTTAAAGCATATACATATTTTTCAAATAGTAAATTCATAAGTATAACAAAAGGATCTGAATATGATACTAATCAAAATTTGAATGATCAGTTTTATTTAATTTTAATAAATATTTCTTGTGTATATAGAAATTTATATAATTAAGATCAGATGATTAATTTATAAAGGCATTAAATAAAAAGTACTGGGATACTATAATTTTCCAAGTTCAAAAGCTACATGCTTAAAAACATGTTTGAATGTTTATTCTTTTGTGGTATATAACAACAACAACAATAATAAATGGCTTGATATTCCCAAAATATTCTCCTTTGGGTTTCCAACAACAATGAATTCAGTATTGATCAAAACTGCACCAATAACTCAAAATGACTAAACTCAAAACTGGCACTGACCACAAAAAGAGCATTCCTTTCACACAGGAAAAGGGGAAAATATCTTTGTTTGATAAATAGAGATTACTTTTGCTAATGCAAAGTTCTTTTCTCCCTTTTTAACTAGTGAATCTAAGAACTTTTTTTTTTTTTTTTTTTTGAGTCATGGAATACCATGAGGAACTGACCTTTTAAGAAAAAATAATCATCAGCTAATTTGAGACTTGAAGCTACAATTTAAAAAATGCTTACTTTGCATTAATTTGCTTAATTCTCTGTTAATACCCTTTCTTTTGTATTACTTTAAAGCTTTATTCTATTTTTAAGTAGCTACTTATTTGTTTTTATGGTTTATTAATAACAGAAATGACAATAACTTTATAAATGTGTTTAATTAGCAAATTATATTCGGTTGCCTGCAATACAGTAAATAGCTTATTTTAACATCATCAGGTCAAATAAAAAAGTCAGCAATGATATATGTTACCAAAGTAATTTTACAGAAATCCAAGTCTTTAAAGCAAGTCTCTTTTGGGATATTAACCAACAGAACTTCCTGCTATCTGTGAGGACAGCATTTTTTGTAAGATATCTCCTCATGTTAGACTTGCTTTTGCTGTGGGAATCCCATCTGCTATGGTTGTCACTGGATTCCTTGACCCTTTATTGAACTCCAGTGAGTTACAGCCATCAAATGCCTGTTGTTATTGAAAATACAACATAGTGCGGATCAAGGGCACTCCAAATACAAGCATCTCACAAGTATATTGGAAATAAACTGAAGAAATGCAAAATAGTACCATATTAACAGAGAAAATTTAGAAATGGTTAATTTTACAATTATACCATAATATCAATCTATACATTTTATGCATTAAAAATAAAATTCCAATGATAATATTCACAAGAGCAAGGATAGCTGTTCTAGTAAGTATTATTAGGAAGATAAAACCAGTCATTTTAGGCTGACCTTCTTTTAACTAAACACTTTTTTTTTTTTTTCGAGACAGAGTCCTGCTCTGTCGCCAGGCTAGAGAGCAGTAGCGCAATCTCGGCTCACTGCAACCTCCAACTCCCTTGAACCCCAACTCGGTTCAAGCGATTCTCTGACTCCCTGGTTCAAGAATTCTCCTGCCTCAGCTTCCTGAGTAGCTGAGACTACAGGCATGCACCACCATGTCCAGCTAATTTTTGTATTTTTAGTAGAGACGGGATTTCACGATGCTGGCCAGGATGGTCTTGATCTCCTGACCTGGTGATCCACCCGCCTTGGCCTCCCGAAGTGCTGGGATTACAGGCATGAGCCACTGTGCCCAGCCAACCAAACACTCTTAAATTGGAGAGTCCTACTCAGCAAGTTTCTCTGCAAATTGATTTAGTGTTCTTAAAACTCTGTGACTAGACTATTGCTCACTGCAAGACTCCCTAATTTGTTCCAAATTATCACAATTGAGGAAGGAGTTTTAAAGCTTTCATCATCACACAAAAGCTGTATTTGGTTTCATTTTGCTTTGACATTTTACAATTAGATAGTTTTAGGGTATTTATTTCCCCTTGAAAAAATAAAACTGCAGTAATTGGCCAGCAATTACACAACTATGTTTAAGATTTTATTCTAATCTTGGTTTATCAAAGCATTGTTATTTCATCACAAAATTCACTCAGGAATTAAAATTAATATTTTTAGTTTCCATTATATTAAAACAAATTAAAATGACACATTTTATTGCATTTGTAACTAGAAATATCTGATGATAGAAAAGGCGTTTTAAACTGAATATGATACATCAAAATATTGTCACTTTTAGAATCATTTATAAATAATGTGTAAAACAAAGATACACAGAGTTAAGAAAGGGAAATTTCATAACAAGTCATTAAATGTTTATTAATTTATGTCAGACAAAATTTGATCAGTGAAGTAGACATTTATATCAATAAAATAATCAGAGCAATACACAAAGACCATTAACACTATGTGCAAAAATGTTCATAATAGAATTACTTAAACACAAAATAAAGAAATAACCTAAATGTCCAAAATCAGGTAAATTAATTGTTATGGAATACAAAAGGGACATTATAAAAACAATAACAATATTATTTTGAGGAATATTTTATAATATGAAAAATTGTTCATATATTTTTTAAAATTAATGTTTGATTATTAGGGATACATAATAGTTGCATGTATTTATGGAATACATGTGATATTTTGATACAAGCATACAGTGCGTAATGATCAACTCACCTCAAGCATTTATTATTTCTGTGTATTAGCAACAAGCTACTAAATATTCAAAAGAAATAAAATGTGTATATGGAAGAGATATCTGAACTGCCATGTTTACTGGAGCACTATTCACAATAGCTCAGATATGGAATCAACCTATGCATCCATCAGTTGATGAATAGATTAAAAAGATGTGGCAAATATACACTATGAAATATCATCCAACTATTAAAAAATGAAATCTGGTCATTTGCAACAACATGGATGAAGCTAGAGGAGATTATTTTGAATGAAATAAGCCAGGCACAGAAAAAATTTGATCATTTCTAAAAGAGAGTAGGCAGGGTTCTCCCAGTAAAAAATATGATTAAATGTTAAAGTGTGTATATTAAATTAACAAACAGAAATAAACACAACATTATGAACAATGGCTGTTCTGCATGATGCAGTTAACAGCCTTTTGTTTTTATTTATTTTTACTGTTTGCATTTTAAATGAGACAGTAATTGTACATATTTATGGAATGCGATGTGATGTTTCAATACGTGTATATGTGGTGCAATGTTAAATCAGGGTATTTAGTATGTCCATCACCACATACACTTATTATTTTTGTGTGGTAGTAACATTCAAAATCCTCTCTTCTGAGAATTTTGAGATAAGAAATACTTTATAAACTATAAAAAAATTAAAGTAGTCATGATAAAAATGTTTCAATGATGTGTACAAACATGATCAAAACAAATGAAAAAAATAGAAAATCTTAGCAAAAAAACAGAAAGTTTCTGCCAAGAAAAAGAAAATATAAAGAATATTCAAATGAAAATTGTAGATTTAAAAAATTCAATAATAAAAGTAAGAAGCTAAGGTGATGGGCTCAAACGTAGTACAGATTATAAAGAGGAAACAATCGGCAAATTGGAAGCTGGAGCAGTACAAATTATGTAATCTGAACAGACATGAAAAAATTTGCCCCAGGGATCTCTGACTCGATAATGAAAAATCCATAATTTGTGCCATGGGAGTCCTGGGTAGAGAATATAAAGTGGATGAGGATGAAAAATTATTTGAAGAAATAATGGCTGAAAACTTCTCAAATTTTATATGAGACAAACTTACAATTTCAATAAATTTAGAGAACTTGAAGCAGGATATCCTGAAAATAATATTGCCAAGATATCCCAATTACATATTATAAACTTAAAGACAAAGTAATAATCTTTCAAGCAGCCAGAGAATAGGGACATGTTTTCTATAGGAAAATTTTTTTAATGATGGCATATTTCTTATCAGAAAATATGAAGACCAGAAAGAAGTGACACAATATCTTTCAAGTACTGAAAGAGAAGTACTGTCAAACCAAAAATTTTTTTTTTTTTTTTTTTTGAGACGGAGTCTTACTCTGTCGCCCAGGCTGGAGTGCAGTGGCAAGATCTCAGCTCACTGCAAGCTCCGCCTCCCGGGTTCATGCTGTTCTCCTGCCTCAGCCTCCCAAGCACCTGGGACTACAGGCGCCCAACACCATGCCCGGCTAATTTTTTGTATTTTCAGTAGAGACGGGGTTTCACCGTTAGCTAGGATGGTCTCCATTTCCTGACCTCCTGATCTGTTGCCATTGGCCTCCCAAAGTGCTGAGATTACAGGCATGAGGCACCGTGCCTGGCCCCAAAATTGTATATCCAAGAAAATTATTATTCAAAAATGAGATGAAAATTGAGAAACTCACAATTTTTGTAGAAGTATTGTCACCTGCAGACTTGTACTACAAGAATCGCTACAGGAAGTTTTCTACACAGAGGGACAAAAAACCAGAAAGAACCTTAGAATATTATAAAGGAGGAAATAAGATGGTAAGAAAAATGTAATTAAATAAAAAAGGCTTTCTTTCTTAAATTTTCTGAATTATATTTGACATTTGAAGCCAAAATTGTAACCCTGTCTGATTATAGTGTTCCAAAAGTATATAGAAAAATGTTAAGAACATTATATTATAAATTTACAAGGCAAATGGATATCAACTGTGGTGAGATTTCTCTGCTTCACTTGAACTGATAAAAACATGACTCCACTAGACTATGGTAAGTGGTATATTTAAAATATAATACCTTGAGAAACCACTAAAAATGCTATACAAATATATACACTTCAAAACTATTCACTAACTAAAGTGATATTTCAAAACAGGTTCAAGTAGTCCAAAGAGGTGCAGGAAAAGTCAGAGACAAAACAAAAAAATAGAAGGAGCAGGCAAAAATAAATAAATAAATAAATAAAATATTGGACTTAAGCCCTGGCATACCAATTAATAGACAGAAATATCAAAATGGATTATTGTCCATAAGAAACTTAGTCTAACTATAAAAATATAGGCAAATTAAAGGAATAAAAATGTATCATAAAAATATAAATAAAAAGCTGGGGTGACTATATTAATTTCAGATAAGTAGACTTCATAACAAAGAAAATTACCAGAGACAGAGAGTTTACATAACAGTCAAATGGTCAATCCACTAAGAAGTCATGGCCATCATAAATGTGTATGGATGAAAAAGCAAAGGAGCAAACTTTGAAAAGCAAAAGCTGATAAATCTGAAAGGAGAAACAGATATATCACAATTATATTTGGAGACTTCAACAACCCTCCCATCAGTTGATAAAACAACTCTATAGAACATAAGTGAGAGACAGGACTAGCTAGATTTCCTAGGCCGACTAAGAATCCCTAAGCCTAGCTGGGAAGGTGACTGCATCCACTTTTAAACACAGGGCTTGCAACTTAGCTCACACCTGACCAATCAGGTAGAGAAGAGAGCTCACTAAAATGCTAATTAGACAAAAACAGTAGGTAAAGAAATAGCCAATCATCTATCGCCTGAGAGCACAGCGGGAGGGACAATGATCAGGATATAAACCCAGGCATTCGAGCTGGCAACGGGCTACCCTCTTTGGGTCCCATCCCTTTTCACTCTACTAAATGTGTTTTTACTCTATTAAATCTTGCAACTGCACTCTCTTCTGGTCCGTGTTTGTTATGGCTGGAGCTGAGCTTTCGCTCCCTGTCGACCACTGCTGTTTGCCCCGTCACAGACCCGCCAGTTGACTTCCATCCCTCAGGATCCAGCAGGGTGTCTGCTGTGCTCCTGATCCAGCAAGACGCCCATTGCTGCACCCGATCCCGCTAAAGATTTGCCATTGTTCCTGCACGGCTAAGTGTCCTAATCGAGCTAAACACTAGTCACTGGGTTCCATGGTTCTCTTCCATGACCCACAGCTTCTAATGGAGCTATAACACTCACCACATGGCCCAAGACTCCATTCCTTGAAATCCGTGGGGCCAAGAACCCCAGGTCAGAGAACACGAGGCTTGCCATCATCTTGGAAGTGGCCCACTGCCATTTTGGAAGCAGCCTGCCACCATTTTGGGAACTCTGGGAACAAGGACCTACCAGTAACATAAGCATAGACACAGGAGAATTAACACCATCAACCAATATAATTTAATCAACACAATTTATTCAATAACATAAAATGAATCTTTTACAAGAACTCACAGAGGATAAATCAATAGACCATATCTCGAGTCAGAAAATAAACCTATATGAAAAAAGATGGAAATTTTATAGGTTGTGTTTTCTGAATTAAATGGAATTAATAAGAAATCTATAACATAAAGATAGCAGTAGAATATAAAAACATTTTAAAGCCACCTATCACACCTCTAAATAGTCTACTGATCAAACAGCATGTCATGAGGGAAATTAGAAAAAAAATAAACTGAATAAAAGTTAAAATATTACATATCGAAATTTGTGTGACACAGCTAAAGCAGATTTGAAAAAAAATTATAGGATGAAGTCCATACATTATGAAGAAAGAAAACCATTAATTTAATAATTTAAGCTCCTTTCTTGATAACCTAGATAAAATATAAAATGAATCCAAAGCAAGCAGAAAGGAGATAATAAAGAATAAAACAGAGATGAATTAAAAACAGAAAAAAATGATATGGAAAATCATTTACAGAGGTAATTCATCTGGAAAAATATAATGAAATTGACACATCTCTAGCAAGAAGATAGAACAGAGGTAAGACAGAAATTAAAAATATCAAGAATGAAATAGCAACTATCACTACATACCTTACAGATATCACTAAGATAATAGGAGAATACACGAACAATTCTAAACACATACAGTTGATAATTTAGATGTAAACAAAAGCTACTATACATCACCCAGAATAAATAATTTTTCTAGCTCTATAACTATTAATAAAATTGAATTTGGGGACCAGAAAGAAATCTCTAGGTCCAAATAGTTTCACCGAAGTTATCAAATATTTAAAGAAAAATTAATCAAAATTGTATGCAATTTCTTCCAGAAAAAATAAGAATCATTTTCCAATGAATTTTATAGGCTTTGCATTATCCTGATAGAAAAACCAGATAAAGACACTCCTATAGAAGAAAATTGCACAACAGTACCCCTCATGCATAGACAGATGCAAAAGTCTTTAGCAAAATTTTAGCAAATACAATTCAGCAATATATCAAATTAAGTATGTACTGTAATCAAGTGGAGCCAAGTGAAGTTTACTTAAGAGACACAAAGATGGCTCAGTATTCAAAAATGAATTAAAGTAACACATCATATTAACATAATGAAGAAGAAATGCACATAATGATATCAATTGTTGCAGAAAAAGCATTTAGCATAATTAACTAAAGACCCATTAATGACAAACATAAAAAATAGGAATAGAGAACCAGTTCTTCAATCTGATAAATAGTATCTACTAAAACCAAATCCAACCCAAAGCAAACAAATGAAAACCACTGTAGTTAATATCATAGCAATGGTCAAAGACTGAATGCTTTCCCATAAAGATCAAGAATAAGGCTTAGACTTCATTTCCATCTTGATGTTTAAAATAATGCTGGAAATTCTAATAAGTGCTATAATACAGGAAACAAAATTAAAATGCATATATATGTATATGGAAATAACCTAAAACATATGCATATACACACACACACACACACGGAAAGAAGAGATAAAACTGTTTTATCCATAGATAACATGATTGTCTATGTAGAAAATCTTAAGTAATATAAGGTGAAAATAAACAAGCAAAAAACCTTCTGGAATTCATAAGTTACTGTTACTTGATCAAGGTCACAGGAAACAAGACACACATTCTCTATACTCTCAGTGGATACATAGACAATAAAGTTAGATATATAATAAAATTTACAGTCACTTAAAAATAATGAAATGCTTATATGTGAATTTAGCAAACATTTACAGGACTTTTATGCTGAAAACTGCATAATGCTGATAAAAGAAATGGAAAAAATAGCTAAGTAATGGAAGAGGCATACTGTGTTCATGGATTGAAAGACTCAGCATAGTAAAGATCTAAATTCTCTCCAAATTGATGTGTGTTTAACATAATTCCCAGCAAAATCTCAGAAAATTACGGTATACATGGAGAACATCATTCTACAATTTATATGCAAATGAAAATGAATTTTTAAATCTAAAACCACTTTGAAATAGCAGATAAAGTGGAAGGAATCAGTTTCAATTTAAATTTTTTTTTTTTTTTTTTTTTTTGAGATTGCTTTGTTGCCCATGCTGGAGTGCAGTGACAAGACCTCGACTCACTGATACTTCTGTCTCCCAGGTTCAAGCAATTCTTGTGCCTCAGCCATCATAGTAGGTGGGATTGCAGGCGTGCACCACAACACCTGGCTAATTTTTATATTGTTAGTAGAGATAGGGTTTTGCCATGTTGGTCAGGCTGGTCTTGAATTCCTGGCCTCAAGTAATCCACCTGCCTCGGCCTCCCAAAGTGCGAGGATTACAGACGTGAGCCACTGTGACTGTCCTGAATTTCAAAATTTATTATAAAGTTACACTAAGACTGTGTGATATTGATGAAGAAATAGACATATAGATCACTGAAATATGACAGATAATAGAAATAGATCCACGCAAATACACCCAGCTCATTTTTGCTATACATGCAAACACAATTGAATGGGAGAAAGCATTTTCAACAAATGGGGCTAGAGCAATGGGATATCCATAGGAAAGACAAAACAAAAACAAACAAACAAACAAACAAACAAACAAAACTTGGGCTAATTTCCTACCTGGCATAAAAATGGTCAAATAGATGATGTATTTAAATATAAAATGTAAATCTATAAAGTTTTAGAAGAAAACATTGGAGAAAAATTTTCAAAATTTAGGTATAGGCAAAGAGATCTTACAATTGACACTAAAAGCATCCATAATATGGACAAAATAAAAGATGAATTGAATTTCAACATTAAAATCTATTGCTCTGCAAAAAAAAAATAAAAGGTTTCTATTGACATAAAAAGACAAATTATCAAGAAAAGATTTATGTTCCTACAAAACCCTGTACATAATTGTTTATAGCAGCTGTATTCATAATAGATTTATATTAGAAAACACCCAGATGTTCCTCAATAAGTGATTGTGGTCAATCCATATCATGAAATACTACTCAACAACAAAAATCAATAGAATATTGATAACAACCTGGATACATTGCTAGAGAATTATGCTGAGTAATAGAAGATAGTCCCAAAGGTTAAACAGTGTATGATTCCATTTATATAACATTCTTGAAATGACAAAATCTTGTAATTGGAGTACAGATTTGTTAGGTATGGAAATAGGAGAGAAGTGATGTGGCTATAAAAGGCAATAGGAGGAAACGTTGTGTAAAGGAAGCAAACATTATGATTATTTTATCAATGTCAATATCCTGGTTGTGGTATTGTAATCTAGAATTTTGCAAAATGTTAGAACTAGGGAAAACTGGGTAAAAGATTCACAGGATTTCCCAGTATTTATTGCAATTGCACACAAATCATTTTAGTAGCATTTCAGAAAGGGTGAAGATAACAGATATGCTCAATTTACCATTTTTCACAGAAAACATAGCATGTTTACATTAAAAAATCCACAGAATTTTTTCTTTTAGAAAAATGTATGCAATGCTGCACAAAGTAATGCTTAGAATAAGTGGAAAATTGGTATTTGGAAACTATTATAATTAAATCTGTAGGAAGCATTTTAAAAATCTCTGAAGTGCTTTTCTTTGGATACAGAGTTTCAGTAGGGCCTGCCAACTTTGGCCAGTTGAAGTGAAAATTTTCTAAATTCAACTTCTTTTGTGTGGTTTAGTCTAGTCTTCAATCCAAATTGAATCCATCCCAAGCTACTTCACAACTGAAGATAACGCTTATTATTGCTTGATTTTTAAGAACTGTTTCATGCATTTAAATGTAAATGCCATAACTTTTCATTAGAAATTAGAGTGTTATACACATCTAACCCATTTTCATTCTTAATGATATGGCAATACACATTTTCAGGAAAAATTGGAAGAACTGATAAAAAAAAGTATTTTTTCTCCAATACTGGATGACTAGAAAATTCTCTTTATTATAGAAAATGTTAGGTAAATTTTCAAAATAGGAATACATTTATTCTATAACCACATATATTAGCAAAAAGTATTTTGAAGTTTATTTCTGATTCATATTAAATTTTTTATTTATTCTTTGCTTTTTTGTTTAGGCTCCAGGACCACATCTGAAATTATTTATGTAATATTTGCTCAGTAATGAATACATTCTCAAATACTCTTTTATTCAATTCTAAACTGAAATATTTAAAAGACATACAGTGCTTCAGTAACTTTAAATCATCCCCTATTACACAAGGCAATTTGAAACTATTGAAGCATTTTGTAAGGGTTTCTCTTTCAAAGTGTTCAATGGTTAGAGATTATAAAGAGTTATTTAACTTTATTGCAATAGTATAGATTTATTAGAATCATTTTAAAAGAAGGAGGTATATAATATCACATAAATCTATCAGATAAAACAGTATAAAATATATTTAATCAGTATAAATGCCATATGGAGACATATGCTGAATGAAAGAGAAACAAAGGAATGAAGAGTGTCAACCATAAAAAATTGTGAGGTCAGGAATTCATAGTTTATACAGTAAGGAATTCAGGAATAATAAACTTTTAATAGCTTTAAAAATTCTATATATCCAGAATTTAAATAAAAATATAAACAAATTATTCTTGAGATAAAGAAAAATAATCCTTGGGCAAAGTATAAGATACTTAGGGTGGAGTGTCAATTGAAGAAAATATGTCAAAATTAATAAAACATTGTGTGGTAGGGTTTCAAAAAAGACTCCCAGTGGTCCCTACCTCCTCGTGTTCATGACATGGGTAATCCCCTATCTTTGAGTGTGGGCTAGAGCCAGGGACACATTTTTTAGTAATAAGATACGGCAAAGTGATATTATTTCTGATATTAAGTTAAAAAAGATCCTGGCTTTTATCTTACTTGCTCTCTCTCACCGCTTGGTCTGCAGAGACAAATTATCATACCGTATGTTGCCCTAGAGAGAGGGAAACGTAGCAAGGAACTGAGGACCTTGCTATAACTATCTTAGTTGTACTAATTCTGCTAACAACTATGTTAGTAGACTTCACAACAGATTCTTCCTGTTAATGCCTTCAGAGGAGACAGCGGGCCCAGCCAACAGCGTGACTTCAATCTTATGAGAGACTTTCAGCCAGCTAAGCTACACAAGATTTCTAATCCATAGAAACTCTAGGATAATGTTTGTGGTTTTACCCACAAATTTTGGGTTAATTTGTCAACCAAAGGGTACAATATCATTAATAGGTAACTAAATATACACAGCTACATCTCAAAGAAAAAATAAATTTATATTTATATAAAAGAAAAAACTTGAGTCAGTAAACTAAAATATTAAAATTAAAAGTTGAAAAAAGCAAAAGTGCAAGCAGGAAAAATGCAATAATCAAAATATTAGATATAAATGAAATAAATAGCTAAAAAGATTAATAGAATTGGAAGATAGTACTTCAAAATATATTAGTAATTTAAATAATATTTAACAAGAATTATTAGGGAAAAAGATGTTTCAGATAAAAAATGTTAAAAGAAGGTGGAAAATAACTACAGCCATAAGAGATTAAAACATAATAAATATTATGAATATTAATGCCCCAACAAATTTGGAGAGTTAGAGAAGATATGTATTTGTTTGAAAAAACACAAAAAGCTTGAATTGGTAAAGAAAATATAAAAAACTTGAATAATCTCATAAACATTAGAGAAATCAGAATAATGTTCAAAAATATTTGAGCCCAGGCAATATAATGGATGTGTTTAACAAGATTCTGAAGTATGAATATGCCCTGTTTTATGTAAGTAGTTCTGGAAATAGAAAAAAAAAGAAAATTGATTAATTTTATTAGTATATGATAAACTTCATTACAAAACTGGACAAACTACAAGCAGAGATAATGTATGTTATTGAAAAAAATCTGTAATAGTTAAAGTTTATTATGTTTTGGTCTCTCCCAATATCATACCACTTTAGGCGTTTCATTCTTTTTTTTCTTTTTTCTTTTTCTTTCTTTCTTTCTTTCTTTCTTTTTTTTGAGACGAAGTCTTGCTCTGTCACCCAGGCTGATATGCAGTGGAGCGATCTCTGCTCACTGCAACCTCCGCCTCCCGGGTTCAAACGCTTCTCCTGCCTCAGCCTCCCAAGTAGCTGGGATTACAGGCATGAGCTGCCACACCCAGCTAACTGTATTTGTATTTTTAGTAGAGACGGGGTTTCTCCATGTTGGTCAGGCTGGTCTCCAACTCCCGACCTCAGGTGATCCACCCGCCTTGGCCTCCCAAAGTGTTGGGATTACAGGCGTGAGCCACCACGCCCGGCCTTTTTTTTTTTTTTTTTTTTTTTTTTGAGATGGAGTCTTGCTCTGTCGCCAGGCTGGAGTGCAGTGGCGCTATCTTGGCTCACTGCAACCTCTGCCTCCCGGGTTCAAGTTCAAGTGATTCTCCTGCCTCAGCCTCCCGAGTAGCTGGGAGTACAGGCACGTGCCACCACGCCCGGCTAATTTGTGTATTTTTAGTAGAGACGGGGTTTCACCGTGTTGGCCAGGATAGTCTCTTATCTCTTGACCTCGTGATCTGCCCGCCTCTGCCTCCCAAAGTGCTGGGATTACAGGCGTGAGACACTGTGCCCGGCCTGTTTCCTTCTTTTTTGGCATTTTTCCATAAAGTATGCCTTCAAAACAAAAATTTATATTACATTTCTGCTAAAAAAAGAAGATAAAAATAAGACATTAATGAAAAGTAACCTGAAAATTTAGATGAATAAAAAATAGTTTCTGGAAGGAAGTATTAAGAAAATTTTTGTTAATTAAATAATGATTTTAAAGGTGACTATTAGGAAATAACATTTTGGAATAAAACATTAGAATAATTTTCAAATGGAGAAATTAATTCATGAACTAAAACAAATCAAATACACTTGTCCTTGAGAATATCTTGCCTAGAGAGATGGGTATATTATTTGAGATGTTAAAGTAAGCAGGGATATAATGGTAAGTGTACTTAATAACTATTTTATAAGTATATAATATAAGGAAAAAATCTATTATAAATTTTCTCTTGTGTTCCAGTAACTGTATTCTATGACAATCATTGAAATAAGTCTGAGTTGGATCTGTAATACTGCATCAGCCCTAGTTACGCAATCTCTTAGATGGTCTTTCATTCAGGGATAACAAGAAACTCTTCTTAGTTACATACTGAGCACCCCAGAGTTGTAATTATCTTGCTGCAGATGATACGGTCATAAATTTGTTAATATGTGGCATACAAAGAGAAATTGTATGGTGCATGTTATTATATGATTGAAAAATATTTCTACTGCTGCTATTTAGTTTTATTAAAAAGAAATTGTGTAGGCATAATTTTAGAGAATTTATCAACATCACGCCATGTGAATAATTGGAATACATTATTTACAATGATTCATTCATTATAGATGTGTTAAGTGGCTCCTTTTTTTGAAATCTTTTGAACGTTAAGTGACATATCTTTAGAATAAGGATGTATAATGAAAAAATCAAACTTTAGGGAAATAAATATATGAAGAATATTTTAAATGCATTCAACATCAGTTCAAAACTTACTTATTTAGGGAGTCATGTGTACAAGGTATAAGGAATTACTCTACAGGGAAGTCAGTAATTAACACAACAATCAAAGCAAAAATTTTGACTTTCTTCTAATGAGAAGAGAAACACACATGTTATGTGTGTGTATATAGATATGGATGAGATATATGTAGATATATTCATTACTTCTAAATATATACATATTTATTTATATGCACAAAAAGTACCATAACAAAATACATAAATATAATCTATAATTTGCTTGTTAGGTAGAAAAAATAAGTCATGAGAAAGGTTTAAGTACTGTTGACATAGAAGGTTCGATTTTAAATAGGTAAGGTAGACTCCATTGAGAAGGTAGCATTTGAATGAGCAAAGATTTTAATCATAAGGCTTTAATTCACGTCTATATTTGGAGGAAGAATATTCCAAGCACAGGCAGTGCAAATTCCATTATTTTGAGGAAGAAGTATGCCTGACATTTTAGAGAGACTGCAAAAAATCACAGATGATGCAAAGACAAGGGCAGGAAGAACAAGTGAGGAGGTGCCATTACCTGAGACTGGATGTCTGTAAAAGGAGTGGGTTTTGGTGAAAAGATCAGGAATTCAGTTTCAGATATGTTATGTTTGTGATGTCGAGTAGGTGCCCACATAGAAATGTAGAGTAGGAAGTGGTGTATAGAAGCCTGGAGATCATGGAGAGGTCTGGCTGGTAATGAAATTTTGGGTATTCCAAAATAACAACTGTGCGGCATTTTGATGATATTGATCCAGTCCTAGGACTGGACAAAATCTCTAAGAATTGGGTCTAAATACAGAAATAAAAGTATTATGACTATGGTTGGAAGAAAACCATGAGAGTATTGTGCCTCAAAGCCAAATGGAGAGAGTATATCCAGGAGAAATGTGTCATCAGCAGAGCAAATGCTGCTGAGAGATCAAGTAAAATGAGGACCCAGAACTGATGATGAGCTTTAATTCCATGATGTCAGGCCCCTTCCGTGCATGAGGCCTTGAAGTTCATATGATTTAATGATATAAATCCATGAATTAAAATTCTGTTTGATTCATTTAAAGTGACAAAACATACTACAACAGATTACAGACTGCTTCAGTGAAGTGGCACATGGCACAAACGTTACCAATTCAGAATAAAAGAATACAGTATTTTTACTAATTAACTACCAACACAAATCTGTAATATATTTTTTCTGTACATTTTTGGCTGTGTACTCACTCTTCACTTCTTTATATGTCAAGAAATTTGTAGTATTGTTTTTGAGGAAAAAGTAAGGGGGATGGTTTTTTTTTTTTTTTTTCTAATGGGTTGGTCTTCATTCTTATTAGTATTATTGACCATTTAGAAAAGTTGTTTTTTTTTTTCTGAACTTTGGCCAAAAATTCACAGGTTTCTGTGCAAATGTAATGATTTTTGACATTAAAGTTTCTGCCAGTCTTATTTCTTTCATTTTACATTTTGTTTGGCTTCCACTAGGATTCTTTTTATCATATATGAATGTGAACAGGACCAATTAATTAGTCTCAACATTAACTTAATCTTGGTTTGAAATATTAATTTGAAAATAAGAGAAACAAAGTAACAATTCAAATAAAGTAAATAGTCTGTTGAGTAACTTAATTGTAATTAGATTATTTTGCAACGTGTAAAGAATTATGGTAAATATTTGAAGTTTTATCCTTGGAATTCCTTCCTTCCTTCCTTCCTTCCTTCCTTCCTTCCTTCCTTCCTTCCTTCCTTCCTTCCTTCCTTCCTTCCTTCCTCTCTCCCTCTCTCTCTCTCTCTCTTTCTCTCTTTCTCTTTTCACTCTTGTTGCCTAGGCTGGAGTGCAGTGGTGCGATCTCGGCTCACCACAACCTCTGCCTCCCAGGTTCAAGCGATTCTCCTGCCTCAGCCTCCTGAGTAGCTGGGATTACAGGCATGCGCCACCACACCCACCTAATTTTGTATTTTTAGTAGAGACGGGGTTTCATCATGTTGGTCAAGCTGGTCTGGAACTCCCAACCTCAGGTGATCCGCCCACCTTGGCATCCCAAAGTGCTGGGATTACAGGCATGAGCCACCGTGCCCAGCCCAAATACTTCTTTATTCAGACAATTTTACTGTGAGTAGAAACACCAGAGTCTTTAGGATCTGATGTGTCATATATGCTCATAATGAGGGATTTATTGATTTTTTTTACCTCACACAGACGTGTTTACAGCTTGTATTATGGGCCTCCATACATGATTTCTGATAAATTCTTCACAATTCATATGGGAAAAAGAAAGTATGATGCATATAAACTTGTATGCACTGCATTGTCAAGCATATTTCTGACATGTGAGAACACTCATTTTATCTAGGCATTGATAAGAGCTAAAACATTGCTTGCAATTCTGCATACCTGATTACTGCACGAGTTTTCTACAGTCTAGCATCTGGCACTGCGTATTTTAAGACCTATATCTCCTGTGCTACCTACATAGTCCAAACATCCCATGTTAGCCATAATTCTCATGTGAAAAACTAATTAAAGTAATTGAGGCAAATTTCTTTTTTACAGTAGTAACTGAGTAATGATTTTTCTCTAATTTTACCGTGTTTGTTATATAACTACTTACTATATAAAATATTCCAATATTTAAGTTATTTCCATTTTTTTCAGAAAGTAAAAATAGTCACTTTTATAGTCACTGCTACTAAAATAGAAACCTCATTATGGGTAAAGTATAGTATGATTTCTCTTTGATTTAGACACAACTGCTCAAAATATATCTGTGATTTTGAGTTAATATAACATGTGTTAACCTGTATAATATACAAACACAGTGCATACTATTACTCTGTTTGAACAAGACATTCAAAAGTAAATATTTTGAGAGCTGTAATAGACGTCCTTATCACAAATGCAAAATTGTATGCTATAATAAAAAGTTTAGAAATATTAATATTTTTCCACTGCCAACACATTTATTAACACAACACTAAAAAGTTAAAAATAAGAGATTAATGAATTAAAAAACTGAAATATATAAAACTGATGAATATAAATTGGTGAATTATATGTTAATCATGTTTTAACAAATTATACTGAAGTGTTTAAAAAGGTATATTAACAATACACATATGATCAACTCTTTGTTAATGGCTATGGTTTCAAATACATTTTTCTCGCTTTTTATCAATAATACTATCCAATTAGTAAAGAAGTGCTGAATTGTGTGTAACTTATTTGAAGAGATAACTTACGAATATAAACCATAATAAAATTTGCTAGACATCATTAAAATGGATCATTAAAAACAGAGAATTAAAATGCCAAACTATCAATTTCCTCTTCTTCTTTCTTTAAAATTTCTTCTGCACATCTCTTCAACCTCTTCCCAAAAAGAATAAAAGTTTCTTTTTTTTAAAAAAAAGGCATTTTACATGTTTTTCTTCTCAGCATTTGGCTTTAGTGTATATCAAACTATAAATATTCCACTAAAGTTTATCTTCTCTGCTGTTGATTAAATTTGGACAAGTTGATAAATATAATGTTGACAAATTAAAAATATATCAATTACTATGCCTTTGGTTGCTGATAGATATCTCAGTTGTTCACTTTCAAAAATCTTGTCTTATACTTTGACTCAATCACTACTAGTATTAACCAATAATTGCATCAATAGCAAATTTTAGTATCAGGTGCTTTATTCCATTTCATTATCTTTTATTCATTGGGTTAATTTTTTTCAGTATAATCTGTTTCAAAAATTTTATGTGCCGATGTCTCTTCTGAAAATATTTTCGTATGTTTATTGATATTACTTCTGTTGATCTATTGATAATCCCTTTATACCTGAAACACATTATTCAGCTAGTTTGAAAAAATTTCCTAATACTTATTTTCTCGCTTGCTGTGCTTTCAGGGTTCCGTGACCGATGTGCTTCCTTTCCTCAATTTCTAGTTCTTGAGTACTGCAGAGCTCAGTCCTGGAGACTCTTTTTTTTTTTTTTCTTGCCTGTCTATTCTTAATTTCCTAGATAGACTATACAAGTGCAGTAAATTTAAATTCAGGTTTTAAAAAATTTCCAAAGCCAAAGTATTCCAGAAATCCAAGCATAAATATTCAATTGCTTGCTTGATATCTTCCCATGGAAGTATAGTAGACATCTCAGGCATAATATATTCAAAACTGGACTCTTGATTTATCTTCCTGAAAACTCCCCCATTATTAATATTCTCATCTCACTTCACATCATTCAGTAATTCCTCTCTTCCTAAACTTACTCATTCTCTTTCAATTAGTCCAGCCATTATGCAAGCAGTTTGAAGATTTCTCAAAGATCTTAAACAGAATTACCATTTGACCCAGCAATCACATTACTGGGTATATAACCAAAAGAATATACATTGTTTCATCATAAAGACACATGCACGCATATGACCACCACAGCACTAATCACAATAGCACAGACATGGAATCAGCCTAATTGCCCATCAATGGTAGAATGGATGAGGAAAATATGGCACATATACACCATGGCATACTACACAGCCATAAAATAAATAAGATTATGTCCTTTGCAGCAACATGGATGGAGCAGGAGGCCATTATCTTAAGACAACTAATGCAAGATTAAAAATCAAATACTGCATGTTCTCACTTATAAATGGGAGCTAAATAGTGAGTACATATAGACACAAAGAGGGAACAACAGAAACTGGGGCCTCCTGGAGGGTGGAGGATGGGAGGAGAGGGAGGATCAGAAAACTACCTATTGGGTGCTACACTTATTACCTGTGTGGCAAAATAATCTGTACACCAAATCCCTGTGACATGTAATTTACATATATGACAAACCAGCACATGTATTGCTGAACCTAAAATAAAAGTTAAAAAAATTACTCATTCTTTGTTTCTCACAAGGCCAAAAACCTTGGAGTTAAACTTGATAAGCCTTTTCTGGCTTACCCTTCATATATATGTATGCTATAATGAAACAATATATCCAGATTTTGACCACTTCTCACTTTTTGACCATTACTTTGGTCTAAACCACCTTCCACAGTTTCCTGGATTATTGGAATAGTTCTACATAATCTATTTGCTTTTCTACCCTTTGCCTCTGGTTCCTGACAACAATTCCTGTTTGGAACAGTATTGTTTCATGTCAATACCATAAAGAAAACACCTCAATGACTTCTGTCAGATTTTAAGGAGATGCAAAACCTTTGCCATAATCTATAGCCCGGTGGAATCTGGCATCAATTACTGTCATCTCTGGCTTTTATTCTCACTTTATAATGTTCAAGTTACTCTTGTTTCCCTGTTAATCCCTGCGTACCCTAAGCATGCTTACAACTCAGGGATTTATTTTTTCTCTCGGAAAGCTCCTCCACAATATTTAAGTTATTATATGTTTTACTTTCTTCAAATGATACCACAGAGAAGACTTCTCAGTTACTCTCTAAAATATTAGCCCCTAACTTTTTTGTTTGTTTGTTTTTGAGATGGAGTCTTGCTCTGTCGCCCAGGCTGGAGTGTAGTGGCGCGATCTCTGCTCACTGCAAGCTCCGCCTCCCGGGTTCACGCCATTCTCCTGCCTCAGCCTCCCGAGTAGCTGGGACTACAGGCGCCCGCCACCACGCCCGGCTAATTTTTTTGTATTTTTAGTAGAGGTGGGGTTTCACCGTGTTAGCCAGGATGGTCTGGATATCCTGACCTCGTGATCCGCCTGCCTCGGCCTCCCAAAGTGCTGCGATTGCCCCTAACTTACTATTCTCTTAACCTACTTTATTGTTTTGGTCTTCTTTATTGCACTTTTCAGTGCCTGGGCTTATATTATATATATATTTGTTTGATTATTTCCAGCATTCAGAAATAGATTGCAAACTCTATGAAGTCCGGGGCTTTATTTCCAGCACAGATAAAAGTACCAGGCACACAGGAGTATCAGGAGTATTTATTTTCAATGAATAAATAATGAATGGAAACAGCCTTAAATTATGAAGACATTGTTCAATTTACATATCTGAATTTTTTGAGGTTTCATGAGAAGATGAATAATGGTTTTTATTGGTCAGATTTTGATCAAAGAAGTAGAATTACTATAAGTGATATACAATAAATATTTATTACAAGGATTAGAACTTTTCTGAAGTTAGGAGAGTTTGTTAATCACCTCTCTGTGCATCCTCATGTGGTCTTTCCGTGAGGGCAAATCTGGGTTTTCTCAAGACAGAGTAGCTTCAGTGAAGTAAGACATTTTTAATGACAGCTCAGGGTTCCAAAGTTAATGTCCTAGTAAGCCAGGCGGACGTTCCATTGCTTTTTATGACATAGCCTCAAAAACACTCACCCTCATTTCTGTCACATTCTGTTGGTTACAAGTGGATCACAGGCCAATCCAAATTCAAGTGCAAGGGAATTAAACTTCCCTATTAATGTCACAGTGGTAAAGATTCATTATAAAACATTACGTGGGCCAGGGCCTATTGTTGCACCCATATTTTGAAAATATGATTTTCCTCCATGATCTCTGGCCAAAATAATTTATATTCCCCTCACATGCAATATACATTCATCTCTTCTCCCATATCCTTCAAGATCTCATCATATTACGAATCAGCCTGAAGTCCAGAAATCATCTTCTAAATAAGATCCAGATGGGCGTGAGCTCCTTTGGTACAATTCTTTCTGTATCATTCTTCTTATTCAGTAGACCTGGGAACTAAAAAGATGAATTATCTCTCTTTCCCCCAGCCCCCAACATTTAATGGTGTGTCAGGGTTAGAATAACCTTTCAGCCAGCAAAGAGTTCTCAAAGTAAGAAAGAACCTTAATGTGAAGATGAAGGCCAGGGTGGGATTATAAAATGTTAAGACTTCAAGAGTGTGGCTTTAAGACTTCAAGAGTATGGCTTTATTTCTGAGTTTTCTGTTCTCTTCCTTTGGTACATAATAGAGCCCTTCACATGTCCTCCAAATTTCACTCAAATGCAGAGTAATTCACTCTTTAGTGCACCTCTCTCCTTAATCATTTTTTTGTAAACTTCTTTTAGGTGGTAGGCTCAACTTTCTGCATAGATATCACCTTAGCAAGATTATCAACTTCTAAGGTATATGTTCTATTTTGCGTGTTACCACAAATAATTCTGGTACTATAGCATAACTCTCCTTACTACCAGTTTTCAATAACATTTGTCTTATTCTTCTTTAATACACTACTACTGACAATGTCCTCAAGGCCCTTTAAACTTTTCTGTATACTCCAGTGAAAGCCCTACCTGTTTTAATTAATGGTCTCCTCAAGGGCCTTACAGCTTTGATGGAATACTCTGTTCCAAAACCAATGCCACATTCTTTAGATTAATATTGAGGGAATGTGAAAACGTGCTTTTTTCTGTAATTGATTAGATTTTGGCATGAAACCCAGTTCTAGTCAATGAAATGTAACCAGAAATATACTACTGTGGTATTTGGAGAAAGTGTCTTTTTGTTTTGTTTTGTTTCCAATTTTATTATGGGGAAAAAGTCACCTGAATTATTTTTCTGTTGAATCTTTTAATAGAAAAAATAAAATAACTGGAACTAAAACAGGCTTATTACATTTTTGAAAAAACACTGTAGAGTTATAAAAAGAGGAAAACAATAAGTCTATCTGGCTTCTTGATGATATCTTTGATCTGCTTAATGAATCAATCTTGGAATAGCCCTACCTTGAATCACTTGGAGGAACCAATGGATATTACAGGGAAGCTAAATCTTGCCTACACCAGTCATTGTGTAATACATCCAGATCTCTATTTTATAAGTATAATGGGAGATAATGATTTCCAAGAAAAAGGTCTTTTATGAGTAATAAAGGGAGATGCTTTTAGTAAAGCACCTTGCAACTCTTATCTACTGAAAAGCTTCTAATTCTCTTTCCTCTATGAAATATTTCCTCTAACTACTGGTTAAAGTTACTTAGGTCTTTACATAACATTTGGTCTCTCCTTGTGGGAAATATTCTTGGTTTTATTTGTGATTAAATGATATTCTGTTAACATTATACTTCAATAGTTAAAATTCTATCTGATTTTACCTGCGTATGCAGGTTACCTACATTACCTATATATTCAGAAGATCCACCTCTGCAGATGCAGGAGAAAAGGGTGTTTCTACATACTGACATAGGAGTACCTCGATTTTCACAGCATTCTTTTAATTGACAACTCACTAGCTTGATTGTCTCATGTTTGTATAGCCTTGAGACTCTAACAAAAGCCAGTTCACTCACGGTACTTTTAATTATCACCTGCCCCACATGTGCGTTCAGGTGCCACTGCTTCTATATAAACCAGTGCTTCAGTTTATACATTACTTATATATTCAGGTAATGTAGGTAACCTGCATACATATCCTTCAGTTTTCTTATATTAATCTCAGTTTAAGGCCCATGAAATAACTTTAGAAAGTTACACAATTTGGAAAGTATCAAAATCTAGGGCGTTTGGCCATTCACTAAGTTGAGAAAACTGCCCTTTGAATAAACGCTTTAAAGTTACCAAAGTGAGCCTAAAAATTTGTAATACTTATCTTAATGTCATCTTACTTGAAGAATGTAGAGAAGAATGGATGATATATTGGGCATCTTCTGTGTTCTGCTTTATATTTTTTCAGCTTAGTGTTCACTCTGACCATTGCAATGACAATCAGCTTTTTTCAGGAGTGAGTTGACTGTACTACCTACACGTTGTACCACATATTTCTCAATTTCAGCCACAGGTATTTGCTAACACTTCACTGTGTAATTAAACCCTAAAGACACCCAAATCTGCACATATTCAAGACCTAGAGTTGGTCCTGAGCAACTTGCACGTACAAAACGTCAGCCCTCCTTGTGTGAAGATTTCCCATCCTATGAATATTTTATTTTTGAATTGCATTTGGTTAAAAAAATCTGCATATAGGTAGACCTGCACAGTTCCAAGCCGTGTTGTTCAAGGGTCAACTGTACTACTATATTCCCTGTTGGTAGATTGGGTTAAGTTGCAAGAAGAAAATAAAGCACATGTCGTAGCATCATAGCTACTAATGCACACTGGCTGCAGCTTGGAAAGGGGTTCAAGTGGAAACTGAAGCACTGGTTTATACAGGAGCAGTGGCACCTGAACACACATGTGGGGCAGCTGATAATTAAAAGTACCGTGAGTAGACTGGCTTTTGTTAAAGAGTCTCAAGGCTATACAAACATGAGACCATCAAGCTAGTGAATTGTCAATTAAAAGAATGCTGTGAAAATCGAGGTAGTCCTATGTCAACATGTAGAAACACGCCTTTCTCCTGCATCTGCAGTGGTGGACCTTCTGAAAATTTGGCCCAAGATTTAATTTTAAGGGCAAATAACAATAAAAGTGCAAAATGCACAGTGCTGGCTTGTCTCATATGTCTTAATATGAGACCTGGGTGTGAAAGATGGAGGAATCCTGTGACAAAGATACGAATGGGTGGATTTCCCTAATAAACATGAATCTTCTGATTTCTCTGAAACTTATAAACCAAAAGAAATGTCTTATATTTTCTTAGTCATCTTTTACTTCAAACATTACTAGGGCAATTGGCATTTAGCCACTGAAATACTAGATCACTTTGCCTCAGATGGACCTGTCATCTGTCCAGGAGCTTCCCTGACACCTTAGGGTTGGACACCCATGAGAAACACTGGGAATCTGAGCACGAACAAATTCAAAATTGTGAAAGGTTTGCTACCCCATTAGGCAACTCTTGATCAATGGGAGAAGGAATCTATGGATAAAGAATCCTCTCAAAAATGCTCCCCTCTTCTGGATTTTAGGTGGGTTATTTTGAACTTCATTCTACATGGCTTCTTAAAAGATCCCAAATGGATTGAGACCCAGTTGCCCACACAGGTGGAACAGGTTGATACATACTTGTATTGACTCTTTCCATTTACCTATCATTTCCTAGTCCTCCATTCCTGGAGTTCCCTGAGATCATTTTCCAAAATAAACAATTTGTATGCAAGGCCTTAGATAATGGTCTGTTTCTGGGAGACACCAGGAATAGACCCAGGCCAAATATTAGAGACATGCTTAAAGTTTATTAAATATTTTAATCACAGGAATTTATTTACCTGTCAAAAGAATAACTCAAATTTATAAACCCAGAAATGTCTTTTTTTTTTTTTTTTTTACCATGGTTCATCCATTTGGTCCTTGATATATCAAATTAAAAGAAATTGTTCCAGCCTCTGGTGTCTGACTTAATTACTATAGCATCTAGATGAATACTATGCCTGTTTGCTCACTAAGCAGTTTTGAGAGCTAATTTGAATAAAGATGTACTTGTCCTTATCAATTTGTGTTGTGAATGGTTACCATAAATTAAAAGTGTCAAAAATACTAAGTATTTTATTTAATATTATATAACAGGCCAATTTTATATTTTTAAGTAAAAAAAAACTGAATGATTTGAAAAAGAATCAGTAAAATAATAGCATTAGTTTAAAAAATTTAAAAAATGGAACATAGAGGAAAGGAACTGTAGTATTTTATATTTCCAAGGCAACAAGAATTAGTTAAGGTGTACTTTTTCTAAGTATATTATTTAGACATACAATTACTGTAATTCACTTTTTATAAGAGTTGGATTGTAAGTAGAGTGATTTTATTAGCCTTCACTGAGAAAGATACTGAGGTGCTGTTATATGCTTAATAATGAAAGCCCTTTGCCCTCAAATTTTGGCTTTTAATTTGAACTAATATTTTAAATTTTTTGATAAAATTGTTAGTATGATAAAAGTAAAGTTCAGCGGGGAAAATAATCTAAAGACCATCTTAATTTTGTGATATTGAGACAAAATATATACTATCAAAGAAAGGTAATTAATGCTAAATCTTTAGTGTTTATAATTTTTAAAGTCCAAAGTAAAATTATCAATTTTTTATACTTTCTTATTAGATATCAAAATCCATACTGCATTATAAGTACTTAGCACATTGTAAAGTTAGACTTATGACCTAACACATCTAATAGTAGTATATTAATTCAATTGTATGGTAACAGATCAAATTTTATTATGCAACATTCTGTTTGGCTCATTTTACAAATGAAACGAATGAATTATTTTCAAAATTCACTAAAAAACTATTGAAACAGAAGCATTTGTCAGATAAATAATTTTGCATAATCATTAAAATATTAGGTATAATTAAACATTTTAAAAATCAAGATTAAAATAATGTAGCATATTTATTAATAAATTTTGTCACATATATATATATAGAGAGAGATTTTATTTCATATATGTCAAATTAAGGTGTAATCCAATGAAGCTAAAGCAAATTTTAAAATATCCTGAACTAGCAAATATAACAAGAGCTCTACAATTCTCTGGGCCCAAGAGAGCATTACCATTTACATAATGTGGGGCTTAGTCAACGTTAAGGACCATTTTATTCTCTCAGGCAATGTGAAGAAAATAAGATAAAAGAAGGGTAAGGAGGAAAACAGGAAGGAAAAATAAAGCATCTCTAAAATGGATTGTGCATCGATCATAGGAATTTTAATACTGGAAAAATGTCTTTCATAATAGCTTTGGAGTCGATAAACTAAAAAGCATAGTCTTAGGAGGAAGATTTCCTAACAAATTGCTAGATGATTTCCACATGCTATTTGTTAGGAAGCATCAACAGCAAAATAATAACAAGATTTCCTGGTTAGAACTCAACTGAACAAAAGATGTAGCTTTCAAATTCCGAGAGTCTGGTGATCACTGGTCTTTAAAAATATTTTCAGTTTTTTATTTAAGTATATATTGTCTGTGGCTTTTAATATACTATGTAAACTTTTAAAACCTCAATTCGTTGTCCTTTCTTACTCAAGAGTCTTCAGGTTTTGTGGTCTTTTAAAGTAAAAGTTATCCTTATTTATTAAAATTAACTGTCTTAAATATTATAAACCATGCCTTTTGATATTTTTAAATTTGAATTAACCCCTACCCCACAATTATCTTAAGCCAAAGTAAGGTGATCATCATTCAAATATATTTTTAACAACATATACTTATTTAGAGAATTCCCATATTTTCTACTTTACATTTTAAATATATGACAAATTTAACACACTTTAAAAAGAAATCATTGTTTAATTGAATTTAGCTTTTGAAACAAAACAACTCAAATTTTATTCATGCTAACTACAAAACCACATGTCTGCAGTGCAACAGTTTGGTTAGAAAAAATTTAGAGCTTTTCAAGTAGCCACAGCTCACCACATGATTCATGTGAGGACTGTGATTTTATATAAAGAACCTCATTAACTTGTATATGAATATATATTTCATTTTATTCTTACTGAATAAAATATACAATTTCAGTTTTCATACTCTCACTTTTCAAAATCTAATAACAAATCTGGGGTATTTCAATATTGCAAGCAAATATAAATGGCAAAGATAATAGTGAGATAATGTTAAGCTTAACTAAATTTTAAATATTTGAGTATCTGTTATAACAATATTGTGTTGTACATGTAAAAATTTTTGTAATAATTCCTTATACAATAAAGTACAATCAAATTAACCACACAACTGATGAAGTCATTGAAATACAAGCTTCCTCTTTAGCTGGATTATCTAGTCATCTCAGTGTAATAATTCGTCTGAGAAAAAAACACAAAAATATGTATAAATAAATTATATCTATCATTATTATTAAAATATACAAATTGAATTAATTTTGAAATTTGTTATGTATAAATTATATTTTTGAACACTAAGAGACATATGCACTAACATTCTTCTTTGTTTTCATTTCAACAAGACGTGGTCGTGGTCTTGCTACGTTACCAGGCTGGTCCGGAACTGCTGGTCTCAAACAATTCTCCCTCCTCAGCCTTCCAAAATGCTGGGATTGTTGGTATGAACCACCATGCGTGGCCCATTCCTTTTTGAACCCTGAAAATTTGGGTAGGAATTAAAGTTGTAGATTACTCATTTTGATGTTCTACTGATATTTTTTACATATTCTAAACACTGCTATAAGAACTGCAGTGTTTACATATTCTAAACACTGATATAAGAACTTAGTCTGTTTTGAGTTGCTGTAAAGGAATACCCGAGGCTGGGTGATTTAGACAGAGAATGGGTTTATTTAGCTCATGGTTTTGCAGGCTGTGTGTGAAACAGGGTAGAAGCATCTGCTTCTGGTGAGGGCTGCAGGCTACTTCCATTCACTGCGGAAGAGGAAGGGGAGCCAGTGTGTAGAGATCACACCGCAAGAGAGGAAGCAAGAGAGAGGGGAGGTGCCAGGCTCCTTTTAACAACTAGCTCTACGGAAAACTAATGAGTGAGAGCTCATTGATCACCCCCTCCCAGGGAGAACATTAACTTGTTCATTACAGATCTAGTCCCATGACGCAAGCATCTTCCATTAAACCCCACCTTCAACACTGGAGATGTAATTATAACATGACATTTGAAGGGGTCACACAAACCAAACTATAGCAACTCAATATAAAAATAATTCAAGTGAAACAAAAATGTAGAAAGAAAGCTACAGGTGGAATTTAATAAGATCAAATATATAGTCAATGTTTAAAGGTAAGAATGCAAACAAGTCTATACTGGGCATTTTTAACTAAAGACTAGAAAATATCGTTTTTAAATGGCACTTTTTTTTTCCCAAAGAAATACATTGCACCTTTACCTTTAAGAAAGGACTTAACAGAGCTTATTTCTCAAATAATTGGGAACTTAAATTTGGGATGACAGGTGTTTTAAGCTTATTCAAGGAGATAACAATTGAAGGACTGCGTAGACTGAAATCTGTTGTCTTGCTAATGAAGACTCTATCCAATTGTGGAACTAACAGACATATGCACTAACATTCCCTTTTTTCACTATTTTTCTTTGCCACTTGCTTTTATTGTTTTCTTTTCCTTTTGGTCCACTTCCTCATTTTTGGTAATTATTTTCTGTGATAAATTTCCTTGCTTGATTAATATATGAGCAAAATAACACCATCAAATTGTTTGGCTTCTGATTCCTTTGGAATTTGTTTTGAGAATTTACATTTTTTTGGATTGTCATGGAAGAACAATCATAGGCATACAGAAACATGAAAAATTACAAATCAGACAGACAAAAAAAATGAACAAGTAATAATCATGCATAATAAATAAGAGTAGAGCTGGGTAGATAAGAATCCTGTATTAGCGTTAGACCAAAGTACAGTTCAAGTCTGGACATATCACCACCTGATGAGTGAGTATGAGAAAATTACTTAACCTTTTCCTGCCTCAAATTTTTTATATAAAAATGTACATCATATTCAACAGGAGGACTATATCATTAATATTGATAAGAATTCAATGAGGTAATACATGCAACAGCATATATATATACTTATGTGTGTGTATATATATACATATATATATTTATTTCAGTGCCCATGATAATATCAGCTACTCTGTTAATAAATAAATGTTTAATTAAAAATTGCTTTAACTGCTGTTCCATCAGGCATCTGATCTTCAGTAAATAAAAAATTAGTAATACAAATTTGAAAATGAGTAACACAAGAATGTCTATCTGGCAAAAAATAACAGAAAAAAACAATTTAAGAGAACTTTTATCAAAAGGGAAAAATACAGGTAAGCCAATAGAATCATCAAGGCATAGTGAAAATCCTGACACAAGATTTTTGTATACAACTATCCCAGACCTCTTAATAATGTTGGTAACAGTGAGGATGATGATGATGATGATGATGAAGATGATGATGCTGTGTCTGCTGCTACAAAAGACGATAATAACAAGAGTAATAGTAAAATGAACTGCTAGTTGTTACCTTGCAAAAGAATATAGGTCTTCCACTATCAAGTAAAATATAAGTGAATTAATGGCATAATGTCTTAACCTTAGCATTAGAATTCAAGAAGGTTTTCCTTGTAACTCGAGATATACGAATGAAACTACTAAGAATGCGAAGACTCTGCTTTGAACTTCTAATATTAGGGGAGAAAACTAGATATCTGCTATGATGATTATAAGAGGAAGGTACAGATGGAAGAGTATGGTGCATTATGAGGATGAACAGAACAAAACAAAATTCTATTGTCATCCAGAATAACGATGAAAATCTAAAATAACAAGAACTTACTACATTTGCCTTAGTAACAAATTATTAATAATTATGACTGATTGCCATGAATAAAGTTCAGATTGTACATTCTCTCTTCAAATATAGGGCCCAGAAGAAAATATTATTTTTCAGGTGTAGATTTGTCTTCAGAATAGCATTATTAGTGTAATTTTTCAAGATATTATTTATCATAAACATTGCTTAAATTCATGTTCATATTATATTGTTGACTCATAATCAAAATGAATGTCAACTATTCTCTGGAGTTACTCAATCAAACTTCAAGTTTTACTATCAAATTTCTATTTGTCGTTTCTCATCTTCATCATGCCATACACTATGCACTTAATGAAATGAAGTGTCTCTCCTCTGTAATCCTAAAGAAATTTGAATATATATACTTTTATAACCCATCACAAATTATCATGATTTATTAGCATGCCCACCTAGCTACATTGTGATCATTTTTGGTCAATTCCATGTAGGCAGCTCAAAGTTTGTGTTTACTGAACAACTGAATATGCATTAAAGTGTTGGGTTTAAGAATGTAAAAATTTGGTTAAATACAATGCTTATAGTAAAATATGCTCACTTTTTGAGAAAAATATTAAAGTAGAAGAAATTTCAGTTATACGAAAGAACATTAAAATATCTCACATAGAAATTTTTAACTAATATTTTCCAGAACACTAGGATTTATAAGTGCTGTTGACAACTGACAGTTTTACGTCATTATTTTAATAAAACTAAGCACCTTTAATATTATTATTATTTTGTTTTGTTTTGTTTTGAGACAGGGTCTCTCTCTAATGTCCAGGCTGGAGTGCAGTGGCACAATCATAGCTGACTACAACTTTGAACTCCTTGGCTCAAGAGATCCTCCTGTTTCAGCCTCCCAAAGTGCTGGGAGTACATGAGAGAGCCATCATGCTTGGCACCTTTTATTTTATTTAATATGATTAAGTGGTTATAATTTTGTAAATGTATCTATTCAACCTTAGACATAAGGTCATAGGAAACTGTATTTAGAGGTACCTTATATTAATTAAACTTTTGTCTAAAATTAATACTGCCAGTTATAAGAAGATAGCTGATTACTTATTATTACATATTGTATAAAATATAGCCAATTATGCAGGAGGTAATGTTTGCTGTTTTAGAAATGTAATGACAGTATCATCTTATTTCATGTACCTTTAATATGTTAATTTGACTTTTATTGTTTAAACTCAAATTATTAAAATTTGTTTAATTTAAAGTTGTTTTTGGTTCATGAATTTTCATTACACATGGCCACCACCAGTTAAAATTTTCTTGAGCTTTATGAACCAAAAAGTTTGTTCTTTGGTGTTTTATGTGACAAGAAATAAAAAAAAGTTTTTAGTTTAATTTGAAGTTAATTATTTTGGAACTACTTTTTCCAAGACTATTCAAAATAAAACATAATTTATTAACCACAACTGAATCAAGTAAGTATGTGAACTTTTCTCAGGCATTAAAAAAAGTGTTACAATTTCATGATTGATTGCAAGTCTTAACTTTGATCTGGATTTTCACACTCTTGGCTTATGGAATGAACTGATCGACAGATGTAGTAATGGCCTGTGAGTTTCTTTCTAGGAGCCATTCCAAAAAGAATAGTGTTTATATAAACAAAACACCTGCCCTGGCTGCTCAATGTTCAAGACTTCCAGACTGTTCCACCTCGACACTACAGTTGCTTGGAGGGAAAGACTTTTTACTTTCTCTCCCTTAGTACTTTTGGAAGAGAAAAATTTCCAAATTTCAAAAGGTTAAGTTTTGCCCTGGTGCCTCTGTTGATCAATACTCATTCAATAAGCAAAGAACTGTAGCCAGAAAGGAAGAAACCTGGCCAAATTAGTTACTCTTTCTTAACACTATTAAAAAGCAATCTTATCAATGAGTTTAGCAAGGCATGTGGGTCTGTAGGTTTGAATAAATATAAAATTACTGAAGAAATTCTTTGTAAATTACAGTAAGTATGAAGTAACTAATTATTTGATAAGGTCATTTGCACCTCACATATGGCTTCACTTTACCTGTTAGGTTATAAAGAGTTTTTATAAGCACATAAAATTTTACAATATGGCTTATAATAAAATAAATAGGCAAAACATAAAATTTAGTTAAGAATGTAAAAATGTGCTGGCTGCTGGGCTACTATAGTCATAGCATTTTAAAACTAATTTTTTTAGGACAATTCAAAATTGAAAGACCTTTTTTTTTTTTGGTTTGTTTTTGTTTTTGTTTTTTGTTTTTTGAGACAGAGTCTTGCTCTGTTGCCAGACTAGAGTGCAATGGCACAATCTCGGCTCACTGCGACCTCCACCTCCCGGGTTCCAGCAATTCTCCTGCCTCAGCCTCCCGAGTAGCTGGGCCTATAGGCACACACCACCACGCCCAGTTAATTTTTGTATTTTTAGTAGAGATGGGGTTTCACCATGTTGGCCAGATGGTCTCGATCTCTTTACCTTGTGATGCATCTGCCTATGCCTCCCAAAGTGCTGGGATTACAGGCGTGGGCCACCGCACCCGGCCTTAAAATTGAAAGACCTTTAAAAGGATCAGTATGATTTTTTAAAGTTTGTTATTTAACTCTATTATTTACTCAACTATTCAACAAATATTTGTTGAGGTGCTTTCTTGAAATTCAAATAAATAAAGACATTTTAGACAAACGTAAACCGACATTTTACCACTAAGAAATTCTACCTAGAACAAATGTGAAAGAATGCAACTGTGTTGATTACAAAGTGGTTCTATGTTGGAGAGTCTGTTTTGAGTCAATAAATGATAATCAAAAGTAGTAATTATTTCTGGATAAATATAACTATTATTTACAGTATGTATTCGTTTCCTCAGGCTGCTTTGACAAAGTACCACAAACTGGGTGGCTTAAAACAATGGAAATTTATTCTCTCAGTTCTGAAGGTCAGAAGTCCAAACTCAAGGTTTTGGCAGGGCCACATTCTCTCTGAGAGTTCTAGAGAAGCACCCTTCTTTGCCTCTTTCTAGCTTCTCGTGGTTGTCAGCAGTCCTTGGCATTCCTTGACTTGAAGCTGCATCATTTCTGTTTCTGCCTCCTCTTCATGTAGCACACTTCTCTGTGCATGTGACTGTGTCTCTGTGTCTTCTTTTAAAGACCTCAGTCATTTTGAATTTAGAGTCCACCTTAGTTCAGTATGACCTCATCTTAACGTTGCATCTCCCAAAGCCTTACATCCAAATAAGATTTATTCACAAGTACCTATTATTTTTGTTTTCTTTCAAATGAACTTTGTTTCAGCTGATATTTTACAGACAAAGGCCTTGGTAAATGTGGCACTTACTTTGGTAGATTTGCCATCTTGCTTAGCTTTATAATCTTAAAAATCTAACTTGTCAGCAAGGAAAACTTCATATTAACTAATCTTTTACGTTAACTAATCTTATCAAAGGTGAAATATAAAATGATGCAAATTACAAGAGGCTAGCCTAAGATCATAAAATAAGAACAAAGATACTGAAACAACAAAAACTCTCCCTCTCTCTGTCTCTCTCTTAGCAAGTCAGAGAAACTTGAAAGATGTCAGTAGTCCTCTTCTCTAACCACCAATTCTTTGCAACATTGACTGGTGCTTACCCAATCTTACATTGACAAAATGTCCAGCTTCTTCATCTGCAAAATGGAAACACTATCATATACATACTTCATTAATCAATATGTCTCACATTAAAATATATGTAAGGAAATGACTTACACCTCAACATATTGTGCAATATTTTAATACAACACTAAAGGAAAGAAGATTAAAGTTACATTATAAAAGTAATTGTTAGGCAGAATCACTAGCAGACATTTTTAAATGTGTGAATATCAACAAACACATTCCCTCGCTGTTATCACAGAAGACGTTATTGCCTACAAAGCATCTGCTTATTCACAAACATATTAAATATCTGTGACAAGAAATAATGTTTTAAATTTTTTGCCTCTTGACACTAGTTTGTAAATTAAATATGGATACTTTACCATGTTATTTGTGCTTTAAAGAGTTGCATCTTTTTCCATTCCAAGTAATGTTAAATAGCTCTCATTCTGCATTTCAAACCATGTTTTGATATTCATTATAAAGTTTTGATATTTAATTTGGAGACTATAATTCCTAATTTTATTTGTCCACTTGATTGAGACATGTGGTGCCAGAGAACACATTATTCCTGGATATGTTTATCTGTATGTTTCTGGAAGAAATGAATGTTTGAATGAGTGGACTCAGTAAAGCAGATTACCCTCACCAATGTAGATGAGTATTATCAAATCTGTTGAGGGCTTGAATAGAACAAAAGATAAAAGGAGAGACCATTCACTCCTCCAGCCTGAATGAGAGCTGAGCACTGGCCTTTGCATGCTCTCAGACTGAGACTACGGGATTGGCTACCCTGGTTCTCCAGCCTTCAGACTCAGACTGATCTCTCTGAATATCTTAGGTCCACAATTTTCAGCTGGCAGATAGTAAGACTTCTCAGCCTCTCTGATCCTGTGAACTAATTGCCCATTATAAATATTTTATATAAATACAAAAATAATAAATACTTTTATAGATGAAAAATAAAACATTTTATATAGACATAAAAATATTAATATCTTCAGTTAGTCCTGTTTCTCAGGAGAACCCTAACTAATACAGAGACCTACATATCCTTGTCAAAGTGTTGCTTTAAAAAGTTGATAATAAAGTATATGGTACAAATTCTATAGACATCCAATAGGCATGAGATCTCAATAATAGTTAGTGGGGCACGAAAAGATAGACTTATAATCACCTATTGTCATGCTCTTTTAAAAGCTTCTAGAGGAATTAATTGCAACTACTGGAACTGCTTGCTATTATCTATGGGATGCAGCTCATAATTAACATCTTCAAGCAGTTTTATGCATGAACATGCACATGGGCACATATACACACATATATTTTTACACATGCATACACACATATATAAATTTTATTAACATTTTATTATAGAGAAGCACAATGTTTTTAGCAAACCCAGGAATATAAGCACTACTTACTTCATTTAAGCAAAATTTTACCTTGATATATTAAGCTTTGCCCTTACCCAAAGTATATTTTTTTATAGTGTTAGCAGGTACTACATAGCTGGCCTTTGGAGACTTCTGAATAGGCTTTATTTACAGATTTTCTGCATTTTAAAAATTTACTCACTGAGTTATAAAATCCATATTTAAGGATACATTTTCTTGTTAAGCATACATACTCTTGTTGGAAAGATCATGGGTACCAGCTGTGCTGACTTACCAATAACCAAGTGAATTCTGAGATTATCTAAAAAATGCATGCTGGTCTCACAAAGTATCAATTTTCTAAACTTCCAAAGTGTTGATTTTTTACTTTTCTAAAAAGATCTTTAAAGACAATTGAATTTTTTCCACTTTAATCTATAAATTTTTAAAAAGTCCAATGGTAAATATACTAGTTACAAATTTATGAAAAATTCTTAGTATGTGTAACAGACTTATTAAAACCACATGTATACATTAGAGAATATCTTCTAATGCAGTCAAATTCTAAGTCAGGACATCAGGTGACTACATATAATTAATGCTGTCCTTGTTTGTATGTTAGTAATACACTGGATTGGAGACCAGAATATTAACCAAGTCTAGTTGAGCCACTGCCAGATGGCACCTACATGAGAGACCCTGAGCCAAAATCATCAAGCCGAGTTCTTCCAAATTCTTGACCCATAGGAACCATAATAGGAACTAAAATGATTGTAATTGGTTTTTAGCCACTAAGATTTGTAGTGATTCGTTAGAGTTATGCAGCTGTAGATAACCGGAATGAGTTAGATACAAACCCAGGGTGCTGGTGTGTACTTCTACATTGTAGAACTCACCCCATCCTCCCTCTTGCTGGTATGATGCTTTTTGAGTAGAATACCTTAAGGTGAAACTTCTCTCTCTCTCTCTCCTTATCCCCCTTTCTTTCTCTCCCTCTTTCAACCCAGAATGCACAAATTCTTGAAGACAAAGTGGCATACGTTGTCCTTCTACTGTATCTTTTTTAGTTCTAATTGCATGTATTAGATATTGACTATTTGCTATTAATAGTCACTAATAGTATTAATACATTAATAGTATTAGTCGTGTTTACCCATTGGTAACTGAGATTTGGAGTTATTGGGTAATTGAGACAAGCAAACAAACAAAGCAGCTCATGTGCTGTGGAGATGGGATCAAATTTATTAATGTGGGACTGAAAATTCTGAGTCAATGTTCTTAATCAAGTTACTAAGATTTCTGAAACATTAATCATCCACCCATCTTATTTATATATTTTGACATGGCTACATATCACCTTGTGCTCTCTTTTAATTAGTAACTTTCTTAAATTGAATCACTTTTTAAAATTTAGTCTATCCTAAAGCACATATACAATATCATAAGACTGATACATGTGTAATAAATGCTAATGAAAAGTAATTACTAATTGATGTTTTCAAACGTGATTGACTAATTAGTACAGAATAACCCTCCTGATGTTATACTTACAACATTTGACAAATATATGTAACAACTATTTGCATGTACTGTATGATAAACAATGCAAGACCCTCATCCTTGAAAAGGGTAAATATATAAAGAAATCTACATTTTCTCTGCCTTCTGTCTGAGAAAAATCTCCTTTCATAGCACAGTGAGATAAAGATAAGCAGAACTTTCAGCTCGCAGTAGCCTGAGGAAGCAGGTTTCTTCCAAAGTTGGATTTCAGGATCAGTTTCCTAAAGAAAAAAGAGCTGAGCAGAGCAGGTGATCAACAATTTTTGTGGAGGTTCATTATGGTTCTTCAGACGAGACTAGGCTGCACATGCACGGGGAGACTCTCTGAGGCCCAGTAGATTCTAATTGTTGCATGACTGAGAAGCTAATGTTGATAGAAAGTTATTCAGGGCTGAAGCGTGTTGGAATCTCAGCCTAGCCTAGCGAGAAGAAACATATCCCACTGAGCTCTGGTCATTCATTTTACTAATTTAGGAGTTAGTAATATATTCTAGATGAAAAGACATGCCCCAGAACTAAGACCAAAAGTGAAAGTGAAATAGTGAAATAAACTTTTTTTTTTTTTTTTTTTTTTTTTTTGAGACAGAGTCTCACTCTGTCACCAGGCTGGAATGTAGTGGCACAATCTCGGCTCACTGCAACCTCCGTCTCCCGGGTTCAAGCGATTCTCCTGCCTCAGCCTCCCTAGTAGATGAAATCTAGGAGTACACCACCAGGACCAGCTAATTTTTGTATTTTTAGTAGAGACAGTGTTTCACCATGTTGGCCAGGATGGTCTCGATCTCTTGACCTCGTGATCTGCCTGCCCCGGCCTCCCAAAGTGCTGGGATTACAGGTGTGAGCCACTGCAACCGGTCGAAATAAACATTTTTAAAATAAATCTTTATATAAAGAAAATAAAACTGTACAAAAGCCCAAGAAGATCTACCAGTTATTTGACAATTATAACAAATTTCATCAATCATTAAGTGAAGAAAACATAATTCAGACTCCTTAAAACACTACAACATATCATCTAAGAGGACCATACAACTAAAAATTGACAGGTAAAAAATTTGTAAACTATTATGAAGTAACAACAGAATCAAAGATGACCTAAATGTTGCATTTGCAGGCAAGTGTAGAAATAAAGGTAAAAAGCAATCAATAAAAAGTATCTAGAAATTCATGACATTTTTCTAAGTTAAATAATACTCTACCAAATAATCAATGGGTCAAAACAGAAAAGACAAAGAAAATTAGAATATGTTTTTAATGGAATTGCATTAAGAACACATCAAAATTGGAGACTTGCAGGTAAAGTGATTTTTTAGACAAAAATATATAGTGGCAAATGATCGTTAAAAATGAAGAAGAAGAAGGAAAAGGAGAGAAAGGGAAAAAAAGAGGAGGAAAAAGGATGACAAAGAATAGAAAGAGAAAGAAAATAAGAAAAAATTGTACAAAAATGATCTCACTTCCACTTCCAGAAGCTAGAAAAAGGAGAGAAAATTATACCTCAAGCAGATAGAATGAAGAAAATGATAAAAGTAAGAATGAAGCAAACCCACAGAAAACAAAGACATAATAGATAAAATTAACATAACTCAAAGCAGGTAAAAGATTAATAGGCTGTTGAATCTTTTTAAGGTAATTTGAAATAATATGTAGGAAATATAAATTACCAATATCATGAATGAAAGAGGGGACAATCCTTTAGATTTTACAGGTGTTAAAGATAAAAGATACTAATTATAAAACAACTTTATGTCAATATATTTGATAAATTAAATGAGATGCACCAATTTCTTGAAAAGTACCTTAACCATGCTAATAAAAGAAAAGATACAAAATGAAGTATGCATCATACATATTAGATACATTAAATTTTAAATTAATATAAAGCCCTTTCTAAAATATGAATTTTCAAGCCCATTTGCTTACACTGGTGAATACTATCATATATTTAAGAAAGGAATACTTTAAATTTCATGATATAATGTAATTATATAATTTTCTTCAGTTAAAATAGTGAATTACCTTTTTCTTTATTTGTTTGTCTTTAAAAAATTTTAAACAACACTGTATTTCTCAAATCCCAATTGTTTATGAAGTAGTACCCTTCTGTTAATGATTTTTGTATGTATCTTTTTCAGGTACATTGGTCTGCCATTTATTTTATGTTATTTTTCATTTTATTATTAGGGATGACTCTGGCTTGATAAATGAGCCTTCGAAGGCAGGCTTTGAGATGCTTGCTTCCACTTGAAACAAATAATTTAATGAGGGGGAAATTCAATATATTAAGTTATGCTACATGTATGTCTTAAATGAAGTAAGTAGTGTTTGGATTCCTGAGTTTGGTAAACACATAGTGTATCTCTACAGTAAGTTTTTAATGGAGTGTGTGTGTGTGTGTGTGTGTGTGTGTGTGTGTGTGAAGAACACTGGTGTCATTATTGAAAAGTAATGTAATAATACTGTGGAGTTAAACTAAACTTCCAACTTGTGCATTTAATTAGTAGTTATTATGCAGATCATGTAATTGACACTAGTGACAACCATAAAATATAGCTTGAAAATAGCCAGATTTTATAAATAAAGACAGGGTGCTAGCTCACATACATTTATATTCATTTATTTGATATCCAGATTAAGCTTATCCAAAACATTTTAAATTCAAATAACATATGACATTGAACAAATACAAAAGAGGTCATTCCTGTATATTGTAGCCTGAAAGGACTATTGTATTTCCCGTTCTATGTATTTTTATCAAAAATTATAAAAAGTTCACTATGTGAAAATCATACAATTATCTATCAGAGTCGGTAGATGGAGATTCTTCTCAATTTCAGTTTTGTCTTTTTTGTGTGGTTGCAGATATTTGAAAAACTTTCAAGTGAGGTATTAAAAGAATATAGCTTTTACAGTTTTAAATATGTTCTTAAAAATTCCTTTCTTCACAGTTGATGCTAGTCATTGCAGCAAAATCACAACAATCTGCAGCAATTGCTAAAATCAAAGGCAATGGCAGATATGTATATTTTTATGTATTGCAAACATATTTTTACTATGTATAGACCCAAAAAGAGCAAGTATGAGTAAGAATTTAATTTTCTGCATGAGTAAGAAAGATTTTAACTAATAATTATATGACTTTATTATTTAATTAGATTGATATAACACTTCAGCAAATCTTGGGATGTAATGAAAGTGTGGTAGCTGAACATTCTTTGAATATAAGACATTGATTTTATTCCAATAATTGATCAACTGTAATTTCTCATTTTCCATGTGGAAGTGTTATAGTTGTAAGGTGGCATATAAAAGTACAAAATGTAAATATAAATACATATATACCCTCTATGTATGCAGATATAAAATAGATACATCTATAAATATAAGTATAGATATGGATATATAAGATATATATGTACACACACACATATACAGAACAAATAATATATGTATCTATATCTTTCTGTCTTCTAAATGTATACTATGTAAATATATATACATATATCTGTATCTATGTAAATATATATACATATATCTGTATCTATGTATAGATATATACGTATATCTGTATCTATGTATAGATATATACGTATATCTGTATCTATGTATAGATATATACGTATATCTGTATCTATGTATAGATATATACATACTATATTGTAGTAAATATATATTAATAAATAGATAATACTATATGTCTTCAAAATGTATAGTATTATATATAGTAAATATATGGTATTATATGCATTTGGGGTATATATAGTATAGCATTATATAGAGAGATATATATCTAAATATATTATAATACTATAGATAGTATATCTATATTATAATACTATATATTATATGGTATTATATATAGGATATATATATATGCTATTGCATTTTCATCACATCACATTATAAGACTTGCTGACTTTTATGTTTTATTGGAACACACACACAACATAGGTAGATTAAAGAATATTCACGTGTAAGCTTGTATTTGTTTACGTACGTATCTCTCTCTATATTCCCAAACTCTATCCACTATAAAGGACCAGAAACAGTGAAACTGCAATAGCTATAATCATGACACTCATACATTAGTTTCTAAATGCCATTTTTCAATTAAACAAACCAGGGCTCTGTGGAGAACGGGTTAATTGTAGTGCTGGGGAAAGCAAAGTAGAAACAATTTAAACAACTAAATAGATAACATGACATCAGATTTCAATCCAAAGAAGCAAACAGATATCCGTGAGTCCATGGTTTTATAAACTAATAACAGAATAAAAAACTCAATAGGCATAAGAGACAATTCTTCATTACAGCCAGATTCCAATCAGTAAATGTAGAATGAATGAGAGAAATAGAAAATTACTATTGGAAATGTCATATCAGAAATAATAGTTGTAGGCTATATCTACCAAATGGTAGTAAAACTTGTCAGTAGGATTTGAGTCAGAAATATAATATTTGAATAGTCAAAGAATCTTCCTCACTGTTTTTGTAATTACAAATGGAAAAGTGGAAATAGTCTTACAAAATCTAACATATTTACAATTACTAATGAAAAAATAAAGACTTTTCCATAGAGATTACTAGCAGATATCACCTTAACTAAGTGATCAAGAAAAGTATTACCAGTAATACATGTTACAGTAAGTACTTTCTGATAAGGGAATATTCCCTCTGTGGCATCCTTTCCATTAATACATATTCTCTATTTAATCATAAACAAAAAAAACACAAAAGCAAATGGAGCAACTTTCAAGAAAATAACTGGCCAATACTTTATAAAGATGGCAATATCATAAACAAACAAACAAATACAAGCAAACTAAAGACAGTGGGATTTTCAAAGATTGAAGGAAGACTAAGGAAACATGATACCTCAATGAAAACTCTAGATGAGGGGTTAATGGAACTGCCTAGCATTTTACAACTCTCTTTTCATACACAATTATGTCAAATTTTAAAAGTTAAAAGATTAAAAGAAATACAAAAATTATAATTAAATAATCTTTAAACAAACATTTTACATCGTCATATTTTGAACAACAAAAAAGTGAGAAAAAGATTGGAATAGCTTTTATTTTTAACAATTAACTATATTATAATTTTTAATTTTTATTTTCTTTAATTTTTTATTTTCACAGATTTAGTGGGCACAAGTGCATACTTTTACATTCATATATTGTGTAGTGGTGAAGTCTGGGCTTTGAGTGTACTCATCACTTGAATAGTGAATATCGTATCCAACAGGTAATTATTCAACCCTCATCCTCTCTATTTACTTGCCTTTTAGTATCTCCAGTATCCATTATTACACTCTGTATGTTCATGTATACCCACTGTTTAATTCCCACTTACAAGTGAGAACATGCAGTGTTTGACTTTCTGTATATGAGTCATTTCACTTAAGATAATGGCCTCCAGATCCATCCATGTTGCTGCAGAAGACATGATTTTATTCCTTTTTTATGGCTCAGTGGTATATCATGGTGTATATATACACACATATATATACACATATATAGATATATGTATGTGTGTGTATATATATATATATATATATCTCCACATTAAAAAATTTTTTTATCCACTCATTGGTTGATGGACACTTAGGTTGATTTGATTCTATGACACAGCTATTGTGAATTGTGTTGCAATAAGCATACAAGTGCAGGTATCTTTTGATATAATTGCTTCTTTTTATTTGAGTATATACCCAGTACTGGAATTGCTGGATTAAATGGTAGTTCATTTTTTAGTTCTTTGAGAAATCTCCATACTGTTTTCCATAAGGGTTGTACTAGTTTATATTCCCACAAGCAGTATATAAGCATTCCCTTTTCTCCATATCCTCACATCTGTTGTTTTTTGACTTTTTAGTAATACCCAGTCTCACCAGTATGAGACGGTATCATTGTGGTTTTGATTTGTATTTCTTTGATAATTAATGATGTTGAGCATTCTTTCATGATTTTTTGGCTGTATGTATGCTTTGGAAAACTATCTGCTTATGTCATTTGCACACTTTTTAATAGGGTAGATTTTTCCTTGTTGAATTATTTGAGTTCCTTGTAGATTCTGTATATTAGCTCTTTGTTGGATGAATAGTTCGCAAGCATTTTTCCCATCCTGCAGCTTGCCTTTTTACTTAATCATTTATTTGGCTGTGCAGAAGCTTTTTAGTTTAATTAAATCTCATTTTTCTGTTTTGGTTTTGTTGCATTGTTTTTGAAGACTTAGTTATAAATTTTCTTTGCCTAGATCTATATCTAGAAGAGTTACTCTTATGTTTTCCTCTAGGAATTTTATAATTTCAGGTTATCTAACTTTTATCTTGAGTTAATTTTTGTATATGGTTAAGATATATTGGTCCAGTTTTATTTTTCTGCATATGGCTATACAATTTTCCCAGCACCATTTATTGAATAGTGTATCTTATTTTCCAGTGCATGTTTTTGTTGACTTTGTTGAAGATCAGTTGGTTGTAGTATGTGGCTTTATTTCTATGTTCCTATCTTGTTTCATTTATCCATGTGTCTATTTTTATCCCAGCACCATGCTGTTTTTGTTACTATAACCTTGTAGTATAATTTTTTAACTTTTATTTTAGGTTTGGGGGTAGAAGTAAAGGTTTGATACATAGGTAAGCACATGTCCTGGGGGGTTGTTGTACATATTATTTCAGTGTAATTTGAAGTCAGATAATTTAAAGATGCCCATGTTCATCACTCTTATGCAATATAGTACTGGAAGTCATAGCTAAAGCAATCAAAGAGAAAGAAATAAAGGGCACACTAATTGGAAAATAAGTCAACTTATCTATGTTTATTGACGACATGATCTTATTTCTAAAAACTCTAAATGGTCCTCTAAAACATTCCTGGATTTGGTAAATTACTTCTGTAACATTTCAGGATACAAAATCCATGTATAAAATTCATTATCATTTCTATATACCAACAATGATGAATATGAGAATCAAATCAATAACTCAATTTCATTTATAATAATTGCAACAAAATTAAAATACCTAGGAACACATTTAAGCAAGGATGTGAAAGATCTCTAAAAGGAGAACTATAAAACACTTATGAAAGGCATCATAAATGATAAAAACAAATGGAAAAACTTCCCATGCTCATAGATTGTAAGAATCAATGTCATCAACATGACCATGCTGCACAAAACAGTCTATGTATTCATATATGTATATATATACATGTATACACACACACAGACACACACAATGGAATGCTACTCAGCCATTAAAAGAAATAAATTAATGGCATTCACAGCAATCTGGATGAGATTGGAGACTATTATTCTAAGTGAAGTAACTCAGAAATGGAAAACCAAACATCATATGTTGTGACTCATAAGTGGGAGCTAAGCTATGAGGATGCAAAGGCTTAAGAATGACACAATGGCCTTTGGCAACTCAGGTGGAAAGGTTGGGAAGGGGGTGAGAAATAAAAGACTACAGACTGGGTTCAGTATATATTGCTCAGGTTATGGGTGCACCAAAATCTCACAAATCACCGCTAAAGAACTTATGCGTGTAGCCAAATACCACCTGTTCCCCAGAAACCTGTGGAAACAAACATATTTTTTAAAAAAGGAAGAATAAAAACTTACTCTCAAATCAGAAAAAAACCCCTGCTTATCTATGCTATGCCATATTGCTTTTAAATAAGTAAATGACATTAGTAGCTGTTTTTTTTAAGTCTTCCTTCCCAGGCACTCTTCTAAAATATACTTTGCACCTTTACTGAAAAAACAGGCATGCAACCAAGACAGGGTCAAAATATCTATTCTACCCTCCCAGCCATGATTAATAACACACACCCACAAGTCTTTCACAGAAATAATTGGATCTGGAGAATACCTCTTTTTTTTTTTTTTTTCCTCTCAGATTTGTAGGGTCAAAGGATGTGAATCCAAATCAGCATGTGGAAGCACTTTTCAACCTCATGGGCTTTCTGGCATGAGTGTAATTGTCATGCAAACACAAGTGGATCCTGCATCCCAGGATAGAAATTCGTAGTATATATTAGTACTACCTCTATCTGCCCCAAACTCTTTATTGATGGGGGTGGAAGTGGACTGGCTGGTATTGTAAGCCAAGACATTTTTCTTTTTTTTCTCCTTTGTGTTTAAATTAGTAACTCTAAAGGTGAGGTGGATTTCTGTCATTCGCTACTGTGTCGTAATATTATGCCTATACATTAAGATCCATTCCACATACTAAAAAATTTGCCCATAACAGTCCCAATTTTCGCCTACTTTCCCAGGATTACAGTGCTCCTTTTACTTTCAAAATTATCCTAGTAGGATGGATAAACTAAGCAATCGTGATCTTTATAGATTATGTAAAATATGAAATTATCTAGAATTGTGGAGTCTTAAAATGTCAAGGGCATTTATAAATGTTATCACAGAACATATTTTGAAAGTGATGAGTATGGTGCAATATCAAGCTTTTGGACAGGGATGGCATTCCAGATACTTAAAGTTGTTCCAAATCACTCTACTGTGGTAACATTCCAAGATCATTTTGGATATGCCAAGTTGTTAGGCTCTGATTTAATTTCTATATATACAGGAGGAGGCCGTATTTCCTAGCTATGATACAGTTTCCAGTAACCAATGACTAGCCAAATTTTCAGGCTCTGATGGCATTTCCAAATACTTTTAGGCATGCCAAAGTTTTATACTCTGATATAATTCTCGAATAGTTAAGAATATGCCATATTGTTGGACTATGAAGTCTTTGCCAGAACAGTTTATTTCTTAGGGGACAAAAAGCTCATGTAAACATATCACTTTAAAGTTTATATTCTTGCATGATAATTTATGCCCTGTCTTTTATCCTCAAAGGACTCCTCATTCTGTCATTGCATTTATAATTATTCTGACAATTTTTTTACAATTTTTAAAACTCAGAGTTTCAATATTATGAGAGTATATTTACCTAGGTTAATTAAGAAGAAAAATTCAAATTCAAAAATTTCAAAATTAATTTATCATTTTCCAATTCCTACTAAATTAGCTCCATCTTACTACTTTCTTATTTAAATTCATAGCAATGTAGTGTTACCAACTTCCCAGTTCAAAATATTACCTACTTCTCCTCCACCTCTTTCACATTTAATAATTTGGCAAATTTCTTAGATTCTACTGTCCTATTAACGTGAGATTCAATCCCTGGGTTTATGTTCCCACAATGGTCATTATCAACCAGATTTATCTCAATTCTGTGGATTTTCACAGTACATTCTCATAAGGCACATGGATATCAGTCTGTCTAGAAAATCATTATTTTAACCATGATACAGACAGTTTCTCCCTTCATTAGGAATTTCTTGGGAACCAAATTGGATTACTCATTGACAAAAGATGGTGATAACGATGATGATGAAGAAGTCTATTAGCTAACATTTATTGAATGCCTGCTGCTTGCTTTGCTATATTTTCAGCAGTACTATCTCTATGTATAAATAAAAAAAGAGCCAGCTAGACACTCAAAACCTATTAAAAATAAAAAATCCATTAAGATGTATGACACAAATATAAATTATATTTTACATAATTATAAGTTATTTATTCATATATCAAGTCAATATGTATAAAACTCTTTATATTGTAATAATTAAGAAGAAACAGAAAAAAAATCAATGGAAAAAACCCCAGAGAAATAGAATAGTAAATATAAAGAACATCATAAATGGACATATTTTGTTATTCATTATTTCATTAAAAATAACTCTATTTTGACTAACTTGCATTGATTTTCTTTTTAAGTGTTTAGATTCCTGCTTTATTATTCTCAATAATTCCATCAGATGACCCTTGATTTGTTTTGAGTTCTATTTGTTACTTACTGAGGAGAATGTTTAGTTCATTAATGTCCCTGTTTCTTTGAAATAGATGTTATAGTATTTGCAACTACAAATTTTTTTATCACTTCATCCAAAATTAAAAAAAAATGAAAATTAATTCTTATTGTTTTCTTCATCTAAATAAGATGTAATTGCAGTTTGGAGACCAATTAAATACAATGATTAAAATGATAACTATATTAAAATAATTATCTTAAAATAAACGTTCAACTGATTTGGCTTTTGTATTGATTAAAAGTATTTTTAAAAAAATACTTATCTTTTGTCTAAATGCCCTTAGGAGGTGGGGCACTTGGGTGATGATTAGGTCATGAGAGCAGAGCCCTCATGACTGGGACTAGGATCCTAATAACATGAACCCAAGCAGGCTAGTTTAATCCTTCCATCACGTGAAGGCAAAGCAAGAAGGTGCCATTTGTGAGAAAGTGGACTCTAATCAGACACTGAATCTGCCTTAGTCTTGGATTCCCAGCCCCTAGAAACATGAGAAATAGATTCATATATTTTATAAGTTACCAAGTTTATGATATTTTGTTACAACATCTAGAGTAAGACAAGTACCTTTGCAGTAAGCTTTAATTTTACTTAGATGATTTTTTTTGCTTTTAAAATAGAGTATTTCATTATAAAATATCCCCTTTCTTTAATTTTATGTGCTGACCTTTGACTGAGAGATAAAATTTCCTTTATCTTATTTTTCTTTTTATTCTATCTTATTCACTGCATGCATAATATTTGTTTGGCTCTCTCATAAGAAAAATTAACTGTAAGTAAAATTTTTTTTATCTTTTATCATCTTTATTTTAAATTATTTTGTACATTAATCCCTTTGTTCTTTTCTTGTCTATCTTAGGGATTTTTTTACACTCTCCTACATTTTTCATTTTTTAATGTTTCAGTGATGTTCCTTTTATATTTGACTATATTAAACTTTCTCCACCAAAATATTAGCCTCCTTACTCATAATGACTTATCAAGGAATGCTTTAGACTATTACCTTATCAACCCAATCTGCTATCCTATCTCCTATCTTCTGATATTTGCTTTTACAATTTTATATTTTTTAATTGTCCCATGTCCACAAAAGACCCCGTTTTAAAAGTTCCTTTTAAATTGTTGTTCTACCTCTAATAATAAATATCTTTCAAATAAAATTTCCAGTTTCATCACAAATTTAAAGTTTTTCTCATATTAAAGAATATTTTCAAAGTTCCATCCTTTTAAAAATTTGTTTTTATCATTTAAAAGGATGAATCTATCTGGGCCTTGGTGAAATTCACTATATAGATCCCTTATGAAAAGTTAAACTGAATGGCTGGTAAGCACAAATATATTACCATTATTTTGTCATTGATCAACTTGAGAGCAATTATAGATAGAGAAGGCAATCTTGAGAGGAAATGCTTTGTTAACATTTTTTCTTTCTTATGGTATTTTAAGGTGCTACCTTTTTTATCTATATAACTTTCATTTGAATCTGGCTTCTGCTCAAGATAATTGGTATGGCTGTGTGCTGCTGCCAGCTCTGTCAGAGAGAATCGTGCTCTTCTTCTATTTCTTTTTCTTTTGGCTATAGTTCCTAAATGAACCAGAAACAGTCTCGCTGTTTTTCATGCTCCTTATCGCTGACAAAGAATGAGTATATGTATAAGTGGTAGGTCCACAGATGCTTCATCACTGGGTAAAGCCTCCATTACTTGGAATTCCCAGTAAGATATAGTTATTGGATTGCATTGTCTTTCTTTCTTTTTTTTTTTTTAACCTTCCAAGGTGACCTCTTAATCTTCAGTGATACTTCTTTTTCCAGAAGGGAGAAGGATAAATCCATCTTCTAAACCTGTCTTCAATTGGTTTAATCCAAACTACATCTTTCAGATTTTTCTTGAGGTGTTTAGCCTGGCAATGGTTCAATTCCCTAATTTACATTCTTGGGTTTTTCCCCTTATATTACATTGAGTGTTTCAGTTTTTAAAATGTTGTCTTGTTTCAGGATGCTGTAAAAAATACCATATATTTGGGGGCTTAAAAACAACAGAAATTTATTTCTCACATTTCTGGAGGCTGACATTTGAGTGGAATTAATCGGATTCTATTTCGTATTAGGAGGAACTGTGAAGAAAAGTTTTGCTTTGAAGGAAATCAGATAAATGGCTAAATAACTGAAATAGAATGAGGAGTCATTGAAGACTTTTAAACTTCTGTGAGAGACTGTTTGAATAATGGTAATGTATTGTCATTGATGGTAATGATTAAGGGAGGGAAGAATTTCAATATGAAGATGCCAGAGAGATAATTGATAACTGCCAAAGCAAAGTCTACGAGAAAGATGAAGTATGTAATATTCAAAGCAGAACGGTTGGTTCAGGAAATACCAAGTCCATTGGAATCGCAAAATGTAAGAATGTGAGTACAGATAGATAGATACACGTAGGTTGGTAGAAGACAGACTCTTCTATCAAGTAGTTGATAGAGAGCATTCAAAAACCAAACTTTCTATGTCCAAACCAAAGCTTTCTGTGTCCCAGCTTTTCACTAACTTATTTTATTCCATATTTCAACCAATATTTATTGAGCATCTACTCTTTGTTGATCACTGATTTAGCTGCTGCGGAAACAGTTGAGCAGGAGAAAGATAGTTTCACTCCTCAGGTATTTAATATTATATTCTCATTGCATCATACAAGAAATATCATACAACAAATCATTGCAAGAAATATCATGTAAGAAATAGCATTGGACATGTTGTAGGTGGGTAATCAAGAAAAGCTCTCTGAGGAAGTCATATTTGAACAATGACTTGAATAAAGTGAGGGAGCAAATCATGAGAATATGTGGAAGAGAAGCTTTTTTGGCATAAGAAACAATAGGTAAAAAAAAATAAAACAACCCTAAGTTGAAAAAAATGCTATACTTGAAAAACAACATATGTATATAAATGTGTGTGTGTGTATACATATATAGCTATTATAAAATGGAAGACTGTTGTAAAAATTAAATTCTGTAACATATGCAAAAAACATACAAATATTTGAGAAATCATAAACATTCTGTAAATAGGTATACATTATGAATTTATCAACTACTACTGATGTCCCACTATAACTAGAAAATTAACACATATACAATAGAATTGTGGGCTTTCTTTCAATTGTGCCTACTTAGAGGCTTTATCTTTATTACAAGAATGTTGTTGCTGGGTGCGTTGGCTCACGCCTGTAATCCCAACACTTTGGGAGGCTGAGGTGGGAGGATCACTTGAGGTCGGAGTTTGAGACCAGCTTGGCCAACATGGAGAAACCTGGTCTCTATTATGAATACAAAAATCAGCCGGACATGGTGCTGGATGCCTGTAATTCCAGCTACTTGGAAGACCCAGGCAGAAGAATTGCTTGAACCCAGGAAGTGGAGACTACAGTGAGCAGAGATCCGAGGTGGCACCACTGCACTACAGCCTCGGCAAAAGAGCAAGACTCCATCTCAAAAAAATATGTTGTTATTGCTCAAAATACTCTTAGAAAACTTTTGTGGAATTACATTCAATATTAGTGTATGAATTACAAATATGTATATGCTATGGACACTTTTCCGCTTTGTTCAAAATTGAACTCAGAAGTTAACTTTTTTCTATCTTTTAGAAATAGGTTTTTTAGTTTACAATTTACTACACATCAGTATTTATTTTTGCCATGAAACTTTGAGGTATACAGTGACATTTGTTTTTCCAACAATTAGTTATTGAACATTTAAAATATGCTAGGCACTCTTTTAGGTGTAGGTGACAGCAATGAGTAAGACAGATAATCTTTTATTTCATCAGGCTCTTGTCCTAGCTTGCAAGATGATTAACAAATACAAAAATAACTAACTAAAACTAATATTTCGTAGTAAGGACTACTACTATCAGTAATAGCAAACTGATACAGTTTTTAAACCATGAAAAATGCTGTTTAACAAAAATATCGACTAATTTGATTTTCATGAACAAAATAGAATAATGTGGTAAAGAATGACTAAGATGGACATAATATGGCAACAAAACTATCTAATTACATTTAAACTTTTGGCAAAAGATTATTTTTAGTCACATGGAAGCATTAAATAAAATTCATAAAAAGAAGGACTGAAAGGAAGGAAGGAAAAGAAAAGAGTCAATAAGAAGAAAATAGATGATGCATTATAGTGTTAATGATATTTATTGATCCTGCATTGTAATTAAAGGGAGGTCTGAAACCTAGGAAATTTTGTTTTGATCATGTGGGAGAAGAGTGATTACCTAATCCTTGAGGTTGACTAGCCAGAGATTTGTAAAAATTATTTCCTTTTTATTCCCAGGAAATTGAATTAGAATATTCATATTAAGGATGGGAGTTTCTTTTTTATTATTTTATTTTTTGACAAATTACAATTATAAAAAATTATGGGGTACACAGTGATGTTATGTTGTATGTATACAGTGTGGAATGATTGAATCAAGCTAATTAACATATCCATTACCTTAAATATTTGTCACGTATTTCTTCTATCTAACTGCAACTTTGTACCCTTTGGCCAACATCTCCGCATTCCCCCACCTCCAGTCTCTAATAAACACCATTCTACTCTCTGCTCATATGAGTTTGATGTCTCACTCTCAGCTATAGAATCACATAAGTATATTTAAATGTCAGTAATGCTAGTCCAAAATCTCAGTTAGAATATTATATGGGAGTGATTGTGTTTGTTATTAAAGGTCTGGCTGTTTTACTTAGAATACTATAGATAAAAGCTATTGGGTAATAAGAATTCAGAACCATCTCAAAAATAGTCTCAACTAATAACCTCCTCTCAAAATTCTTCCCTGTTTGCCAGTGGGTGATATCTGATGGCTGTACACAGGGATATTGATAGGAGTTTAGTTTTTGGTTTAGGAAATCATTTTAAAGATTTCTCTTTTTGAGCCAAATTATGGACTCAGATTTTCACTGAATTCAATTGCTTGGGGGTATAATATTTGCTGAAGTAAGACCCCTAGATTCTGCTAGCTGTCTTCCTTTTTACTTTCTCTGGGACTTCAAAAGTGTAATAACTTCTAGGGAATGGCTCATGTTAATCTATGACAAATCCCCCAACAATTTCAGATTCCCTGAATTCAGTAGGACATTAAGCATTTTCAAGAGTCCCTTGACATCTCTGTTTCCCTTTCCCTCAAGATATATTTCAAACTTTTATTACTCTCATGCATCTCACTATCTCACCACCTGATTCTCAGAAGACCCAACCTCTCATTTCATGCAGATAATAGAATTTATCAGGCAGGATATATCTGAACTTTCTGCTTCCATCTACTGTCAATCATTCACATGTAAATATCATCATTTTCCCCCCCTCTTTCCAGCTGCTGTTTCTCATTCTCTCTTATGGTCAATACTTGGATGCTGAAGGAACTCTCTATTTTCCAGTTGTATCAGTTATCTAGTCCTGTGTAAACATCTACCCCAGAATTTAAGGCTTAACACAATAATCAGTTATTTCACTCATGCTTTGTGAGTAAAAACTTTGGGTTTGTTTCAGATGGGCAGTTGTTCTTATTTGGCCTCATCCTTTCACAGCTGTTATCATCTACAGGGTAATAATATGTGGGGCTGGCTGGTTTATAACATTTTGGTCTGGGATGGTTGGGGTAGATGAAGTGTCTCCTGTGTGTTATCCGCTAGCTGGCTTGTCTAGGGTTGTTCACATGACATCAGAGTTCCCCAGGCAGTGAGATGGCAAGCTTAACACAGGAGCAATTTTCAAGTATGTTCCCGCTTCAATTTTGCTACTGTTATCTTGGCCAAAGCAAGTTGTAAAGCCACCTGTATTAAAGACAATTCCATCTTTTAATGAGAAGAGGTACAAAGTCACATTATAGTTCAAGATTATAGATATAGGAAAAGGAGACATATCATAATAAGTTGTCACAATAGTTCACAACTTTTTAGTCAAATTAAGACACAGCTAGATAACCATAAAAACATATGCAAGGAATTTCACCCACTTATGGAGGCAGGCTTTGACTATACATCTAATTTGTTTAGTTTCAAATATAGAGTATAGATTCTGTACTTTATACTGGACATTTATCATAAAAATTATCATTGGGTTACTTACTCACTCTTTAGGAATTAAAAACAGTATCTTACTCTCCTTGTGACACAGGACTTTTCTTGATCATTTTTGCCTGCCAGAGACACCTAGCTGGCAATGCCTTTGCCCCACCTTGGCTGGTGGCTTTGGGGCTGGTTCAGCCCTACCACTGTTTCTGTCAAGTGGGGCAGCTGCCCTCCACTGGCAGAGGGCAGACAGCCATGATGTTACAGGCTTCTCTGTGCTCACATTTGGTGGGTTCCAAGCTCTTGTCCCACATCCAGGAAGAATGAGGATACACTGATAATTGAAGAGTGAGGAGAGTGGCGAAGGACTTTATTGAGTGATGGAACAGCTCTTAGCAGAAAAGGATGCTGGGGTGGTTCCCCACGCCTGGGGAGATTTCTCCCAACAGTGTGGCTGAGTCTAGGGCTTTTATGGGCTTAGAATAAGGGAGTGTGTGCTGATTGGTTTGTGAGTATGCAAAGAAAGGCTAAAGAAAAGGCTTCACTCAAAAGCAGGCATGGCAGTGTAGAAAACCAATTAGGAAAGGGTAGACATATGTAAAATAGGTGAAGGGTGGGGATCAATCAGAGGCAAGTGCACCAAATGGGAAGACAAGTTCTCAATCTGGTCCATGGATTTGACTTGTAGCTTGGCTTTCAGGCTTTAAACTGCCTTTGACTTGGAGGTTGGGTTTCACTGAGGACCTGCCCCTGTCTTCCTAGGCATTTGTCTGCCCCTGCTGCTATCACTTGGTTCTTATTAGAGTGCTGGGTACATTGTAGCCACTAAAGGTATAATATTTGCTGATTATTAAGCAGTAAATGAAGTCTTGCTCTTTTACAGTTATAACATATTAAAACAGTATTTTTAACTAAATCTTTCACCATTTATGCATTTCTTTGTGTGTTATCTTTTACTATTTCTAATATCAAGCTCCTTTTTCATAAGACAAGAAGTTTAATGGGAATAGTATGGGCTTTAAGGTCAAATGGACAATGGTTGAAATCATAGATTTTATAAGCCCTATTTGCATATGACTTTGGAAAATGACTTGTTTTTTAAGACTTATTTTTCTCATGCATTAAATGGGACTAATGACACTGACATATTGGAATTGTTCTAAATATTAGAGGAATTTGTGAAATATTACTCTTTATGGCTATGGAGATATGGAGTGGTGAACCAGGATGTTTGTGATGGTAAACAATTTATATTGGAAAGCCACAATATAAATATTATTGATCTTACTGAAACTTATTTTAACTTATTTTAAGGTTTAGGTATTAAATAATCTAAATGGTATTTTAAATTTCATATATGATTATATTATGTTATGGAATGGTCATAGATTTTTTTCAGATGTGATATTTTACCAGTGTTGCTGGTCACTTGGGACTAACTTAGGAAACCTTGGGGCATGCAGGCTCTTCTCCCCAAAAGAGTATTTTTTAGAGGAAAAAAAAAGCAGTGATAAAAGTAAAGCATATAGTACAGTGTCTGGTATAAAAAAAAATCTATGTTAAAATTCTGTGACTACTTTTCACCACTGAGATTGCTTAAAGAAATGTTTCAGAGGTTCTAAACAATGTTCCTTCAAATAGTTCAGTACCAGAAAACTTTTGGTTCCTTAATTCAGTCCTTTAATTCTATATATACTATGTTTTCTAAACATGTGTAAAATATTGTAGACGGGTTGGGAGTCTAATTCCAGAAAGTGAAAATATTGAAACCTTATTTCAGTTACTACAACATAGAGTACAGATGTTCATTTATTGAAACAGGTACACTTGGCGACAGTCAAACATTTTCAGGTGTCTTGTAATGGGTCATCTTTATCATTAGGAGTTCTAATTATTATTTCTACATTTTCTACATAAAAGTTAAAATAAACTTTATATATGGCTTTCAAAATACCTTTTCCTTCTTCTTGAATTCCTGAGTGTCATTGAAGCTAACGATCTTTGTATTTCTATACTGAGTCACACAGTTTGGAAAACCTGAATATCTGGTCATGAAAGACATTGGCTTGTTTGTTAAAAATGCAAATCCCTACTTTCACTTCTTACTTCCGAAACCAAATCTGTATGAACAAGACTTTGGATTGGTATGTCTAATGTTTCTCAGAGACTCTTTTAACCACTACACTTGGATGTTGTAGCTGAATCATCTAACTTTTCCTTGTCCATGGGTCATGACTGGACTCCCAGGGCTATAATGAACAGACTGTTCTCCCAGCTCAGTTTTCTGCACATTGAAAGTACTACTTACTGCCTATGAACCACCTTGCTCATGTCATACCATTCTTGCCCATCCTGACTCCATTCATCTTACTCATAAAGTCTGTGAAAATACGACTAAGGTAGGAATAGTGATTGGTAAAGGAGCAAGAACCATGGTATTAAGGTTCACAAAATTTCCTTGCTAGGACATTTCTGAAAAGAAAGAGAATGTACACTTTGCACAGCGTGATGCTACTTTGAAGGTTTCTCTGTCTTTTCAGTACTTTCTGCCTGGTTTACTGAAGTCTGAACATTTCCATCAGGAACAACTGATGGTAGGGTAGCTAATGCTATCACTGATACCTGGCTCAGAATAATTGTTAGTTGATGTATGAAATGATAAATTAATTATGGAAAACATGTTTTAGGGGTGTTAATAAATAATTCATGAGTGTGTGAACTGCATTAAATTTGATGTTGTTAAAATCAATTTTATTCTTCCTATAGGAAAAAGTCATTTAAATTTCAAATCCCTACATTTTCCATTGAGATGCAAGACACATTATTTCGAAGCTACATTGCAGAAAGGCTGAAAGACTATAGATTTACTAGATATTCCTGTTCCTATGACTCCTGCTTAACTTTGCTTAAAGATTGCTCAATAAAGGCAGAAGGAAGAATTCTATTGAATCACAAGGTGTATTGTGAGATCTTAGACACTGCCATTCAGCAAGAAAGCAGGCTTTCTAGCCCAGCAAAAGCAAGGAACCTCTGCCAACCAGTAATCTGGGAAGAAGACTCTGGGCTTCAGATTAGATTGTAGCCCCCAACTGTAGTAAATATACAAACATTGTATCGAGACACAAAATTATACCATTTTCTTGCATTTGTAGGAAGCCCTGGATAAACCATAAGTATAAGTAAAAAGTGCCAAATCAATGTATAGTGCACATTATTGAAATGGGAAAGGTTCCCTTGTCCTCCTCGCAGGACACGTGATGGGGGAGTGGCTAACTTCCTCAGTGCCCTGCTGCTCAAACCTGTAAGTGAGCATAAAGATGGGCAGTTTGTGGGGCTCCAACCTCATGGCAGTGACTTTTTTAGAGGAAAAAAAAAGCAGTGATATAAGTAAAGCGTATAATCCAGTGTCTGGTATAGGGGTGAATGTTTAGAGCTTCTGAAGCCCCAGTGCGCATGTGTTACAGGATGCTCTCTTAGTTTGCCATCTGTAGGTGGCTTGTGTTAACCAGCTCAATTAGACCCTCTACCTTGTCGCAATGACAGAGGACTTTCTGTATCCCGGGTTCTTGCCTTGATGTACCCGAAGAATCAGATCATACGTGGGCTTGGAAAATGAGTGCAAAGTTTTATTCAGTGGAAGTAGCTCTCCACTGATGGGGGAGGCAGAAGGGAGATGGTTTTCACCCGGAGTTGGGCCGCTCGATGGCCCGGCTCTCCTCCTACTGCCCCAGCCAGACTCAGCCTTGTCCCACCGGTCGATGGCCTGCCGGCATGCCAGCATCTGTCGGTGTGCTCTTCGGCCAGCGTGCTCTTGAAGACCAGCTGCTTGTGTCTTCTTCTGCCTACGTGTTCCTCTCACTGGCCAGCAGCTTCTGTCTCTGCCTTGCTAGGGTCTGGGGGCGTGGTGGGCCAGAGTGATCTTGGGAAATGCAACATTTGGGTGCAGAGGCAGGAGTGTCTGTCCTCATATAGGTTTTTGGGGGTGGAGCCCTAGCCAGGGACCACGCCCTCCTCTCCCCAGCACCTCTCTTCCCCGCCTTTCGTATTATTTAAAGGGACCATGCTCTTCCTTTCCTAGAACTGTATCATTTTGACGGCTTCTAGGTGTGAGAGAAAAAACAAGTTTTATAAGGTTAAGTATGCATGATTAAGCGTGTATTTTACAAGGAAAGAATTTAGTGCCAAAGATTACAGAGACAAGAAGTAAAATATAATACCAACAACATTGTACCTGAGCTGTTTCACTCTGGTGAAAGAAATTAAACCTTGTATTGGGAAAGGTTAAACTTTAGAAGAGAGATAACTATTCTTGCCATATGTTTAGCAGTTAACAGGTGCACCCTGGGAATACCTGTATCTCCTCTCTCTTTCCCAGGCCACCTTGTCTCTATTATAAAAGACTGAGGTAGCCACTTTCAGGAGGTCCTCTAATGTACTATCTGGTCCCAGGGCCTATTTCTACAACTTTCTCCTGGTGTTTGGGGCTGTCTGAGTAATAAATTTATCCTTTAAGATTAGTTGTCCCTCGACTGAATCAGGAGATAGAGAGGTGTGCTTTACCAAGGCCCCTCTTAGTCTTTCCAGGAAGGCAGTGGGATTTTCATCAAATTCCTGGTCAATCATGGACAACCTAGTATAATTGAGAGGCTTGGTCCTAGTTCTACATAAGCCTTCCATTATGCATGCCTGAAAGTGACTCCTCTTCTAATCTTCCACCCCATCACTGGGATCCCATTTAGGGTCATTCACTGGTACTGCTTCTCTTCCAGTTGAATAGTATTCACCCCCTTCCCTGATGCTATATGTGAGGCAAAGCTCATCCGCAATTCTCTCTGCTGCTTGCAGAGCAGCGTGTTTCTCAGTGTCTGTCAGGGTCTGATTTAAGTCACATAACCTCTCTCCAGGAGAGTTCGAATATTCGAGTGAAATTCTGGACAGCCTCTATATATCTATCAGGGTCATCTGAAAACTTGCCATGATCCCCCTTAATTTGCTTTAAATCCTGTAAGGAGAAAGGGGCCTGGACCTTACTGGGCCCAAATGCACTGGGCATCTGTTGCAGGGGCAAGCCTGAGATTGGGACTTGTCTAGAGTGAGGATTTCTAGGAGGGAGCAAGTGAGAGGCGGAAGCTGGATAGGGAAGTCAGGGTGGACCCGGAGAGGGAGGAGCAGAGCTAGAGAGAGCTGTCTCCTCTTTTGGGGGTGCCTCTGGTACTCATATCTTTAATTTCCTGGGCTTGCCCCATGCAAGCCCAGGGAATTCCTGAGGTGGCAAACAGGAGGGCTGGATCAATCCTACATTGTCAGCAAAGGTCTAGATGGCTTTGCAAGGTATAGAAAGCATGTACACATGGGGCCTCAGACCATCTGTCTTCATGTCTACAGAAAAGTTCCAATTGACAGATGGTATCGAAATGAATGGTTCCTTCCTGAGGCCAAGACAGTTCTTCCTGTAAATCGTAACTTGGCCAAACCTTTGTGCAGAGGGCAATAAGGCATTTTTCCTCCAGATTCTGAGGGTCAAAGCAGTCCCAGTGGTTCAGGATACACTCCAGAGGAGTATGAGCTGGCAGTGGTGAGAACTGATTGCCCATTCTGAAAGACAGGAAATAGAAGCGTCCCTCATTCCATTCCTTCTTTCAGCAAAAACTCAGGGTGTGAAGGAAAGAGAAAGTGAGTGCCCTCCTTTCACACTCCACCCCTTATCCCTGAGTCCTGGCGACCTTGGCAGGTGCTGGCCATGGGTACCAACAGGTGACTGGAACAAGGGAAACTTTCTCGTTTCAACTGGGGGCTCATCCGGTGGAGTGGCTGGATTCTTCAGCGCCCTGCTGCTCAAACCTCTAGGGGAGCATACAGACAGGCAGGCTGTGAGGCTCCGATCCCATGGCAGGATCTAGGGGTGAATGTTTACAGTTGAAGCCCCAGTGGATGTGTGTTACAGGGTGCTCTCTTAGTTTGCTGTCTATAGGCAGCCTGTGTTAACCAGCTCAATTAGACCCTCTACCTTGTTGCAAGGATGGAGGGCTTTCTGTATCCCAGGTTCTCGCCTTGGTGTAGCAGAAGAATCGGATCACACATGGTCTTGGAGAATTAGTGCGAAGTTTTATTGAGTGGAAGTAACTCTCCTCCAATGAGGGACTCAGAAGGGAGATGATTTTCACCTGGAGTTGGGCCACTCGGCAGCCCCGGCTTTCCTCACACTGCTCCGGCCAAACTCTGCCTTGTCCGGCAGGTCGATGGCCTGCCAGAGTGTCAGCGTGCTCTTGATGACCAGCTGCTTGTGTCTTCTTACACCTATGTGTTCCTCTCTCCAGCCAGCAGCTTCTGTCTTTGCCTTGCCGGTATCTTGGGTTTTTATAAGCCCAGGATGGGGGCGTGGTGGGCCAGGACAGTCGGGAAAAGCAACATTTGGAGTGACAGTCGGGAAAAGCAACTAAGGCAGGAGTGACTGTCCTCACCTAGGTTCATGAGGGTGGAGCCCCAGCCAGGGACCACACCCTCCGCTCCCCAGCACTTCCTTCCCCGCTTGCATATCATTTAAAGGGACCACACTCTTCCCTTCCCAGCACTCTTGTATCATTATGATGAAGCATTAAAAGTATCCTAAATTTCTTTTAAACAGTAGGATACATTTTTCATCAAAAGGTTTGACTTTGAAATTATGTTAATGGAAACTGTGGTCATTCTTTGCCGTTTCAGTCTATAATACAATGAAGAAAAATGAAGTTATTCAAGCCTGCTCCTAAGGTAACCATAGATACACATTTTCAGCCTAGGTTTATTTAGTTTTAGTGACAAATATTTATTTTTAGTACTCCCTAGAAAACCAGTTTGTAAAAACTGACATAGAAAAAAGTCTCAATGCATTGTCTTTGCAGAGAACTAATTTATACTTACTATACTTTATACTTGCAGTTGTCTGAAGGTTAATTCTCACAAAGTTTATTTTTAGTAGTCATGTTTAATTCTGTCCTTTTATTTCCTGGTTATGCGATGTCTGATAACAGCCTTGGCATGATATCATTATATGGTTAAAAAGACATACCCAAGATAAGGTAATAATTTTCATGTTCTTCCCTTTTCTGATTTTAAAAGTACAGGAGAAGGCAAAAAAAAGTGTCTTAGATTATTTCTAATTATCATCCTTGTATAACCCACACCATAAAATGCTAACAAAACAGTTACCTTTTAAAATAATCTAGCCCTATAGTAAACATGTAACTGTCTTAGTTAAACTTGCATTTTAATAAAAAAGAGGACCCTTTTCTAATTATTAGACTTTTTACTCTTTACTGTTTTATAGGTTTGACTATTTGAAACGTTCTATTAAATATGCTAGAAAATTATATTTAGCAGCAAGCACTGTATAGCCAGCATATTGGATTTTATTTCCCTCAAACAAGTTTAAATTAAGAGAACCAATGAGATTAGCTTTCAAGTATGTGAATACAAATTCATTAGTGACAAACTTCACTCACAAATACTGAAATATATACGTAAAATAAAGGACACTTATTTGTGAAAATATTTGTAGTAAAAATTGGACTCTTCAATGCAGCAAATTTTATTTTGGGAATTGAAAATGTATCATTTCTAGAAGCAGCAAAATAGATTTGGGATATGTCTTCTTAAGGCTTCTGAGTCAGTTCTGAAAAGGCCAGCGTCTTCCTTTATAGGTAAGCAAAAGAAAAAGACCCAGTAATGAGCACCGTGGTAGGCAGAATTCAAAGAGGTTCTCCAAGATTCGCCTAATGTACATGCCCTGTGTAATCCTGTCATGGTGAGTGCAAGAGGAACCCTTGACTCTGGTTCGGTATTGCTCTCTTGATTAGATTATGTTTTATGCTCAGCATTATGGGAGAGTCACAATAGTGATTGAATTATATTATATGGGACTAACTACAACATAGCAACTGGAGAAAGGCTTGCTTGTTGGCCTTGAAGAAGCAAACTGCCATGTTATGGAAAGGACCACAGAGCTGGAAATGCTAAGTGGACTCTAGGTGCTGAGAACAGCTCCTAGCTGCCACTCAGCAAGAAAGCAGGTATTTTAGCCCAGCGACAGCAAGGAACCTCTGCCTACAACCAGTAATCTGGGACAAAGACTCTGGGCCTCAGAGAAGATTGCAGCCCTTGGTGGTGGTATTGATTGCAGCCCTATTAGACCTGAGCTGAGGACTCATTTATCATGCATCTGTAGATGACCAGTGGATACTCTGAGATAATAAACTTGTTTTTTAAATGCTGCTAAGTTTGTAGTAATTTGTTATGCAACTTAGAACACAAACACAAGCATATTCCTTTTTACAAATATCATGTAAATAGTATGTTAACAATATAGTGTTAAAATAACTTAGATATCTATTTCTTTAAAAAAGTGAGGGGCTAGTAAATTATTTTTACCTGAATTCTCTTTTGTAACTGACCGACTTTAAAGGGCTCACTTATTCACTCTTTTTTTCAAAAATATTTATGTAGTGTCTCCCTTGTATTTGGGATTTAGGATACATCTTTATAAATGATCTTGCATTCAAAAAGCATGAACTGCAGGCAAGCAGACACTTGGTAAAGTAAACTGGGCTTAAAGACAAATTGAAACAAATATTGTCATTTTATCATTAATAGTGAGAAAAACATATTTATTGATATGTATTAACATTGACTAATATTGAACAGAACTATTTCTACTATATCGTTTGTTCTCCTTTGAAGTTGTTTTCCTGCTACAAGTGATAGGTAGCCTTGATCAGTGCTCCTCAAACTTTAATGCACATAAAAAGAATGGCCTGGGGATCTTGTTAAAGTATGGGTTCTGATTCAGGAGGTCAGAAGTGGGCCCAGGATTCTAAATTTCTAACAAGCTCCTAGCCATGCTGATGCCACTGGGCTGAGGCTCACACTCTAATGTAGCAAGAGTATACATGACCTCTGCAGGTTTCTGCTCAGATCAAGGAAGCTACCTCACTATAATTTACAGCACACTTTCATGTTGGCTAAAACCGGAGTCTCTAGTTTCAGAAAAAATATATAGCTAAATAAATATTTTCTCATAGAGTAAATGTATGTAGCGGCAGACAAATCTCTGAGACTTTCGTTTGCTTTATTTTCCTTCTTTCCCTAAAATTAAAAACCTACATTTTTACCATAAGGTTTTGAACATTGACAGAAACATGCCGTGTTCTTGAGGAGGAAAAAGAAAAAACTATAAAAATGTTAATGTACTTCAATTTTTTAAATATTTGATACATCCTCAATCAAAATAATACTTGACAACATTTTTGAACCATAGCTAATTAAGTTTGAAAATATTCAGAAGAAATAATGAGCAAGAATAACACATCTTCAAAATAAAAGAAGAAAATAAGGTATGGCAGCATATCTGAGCTGTCTAAAAAGTGAGAAGTTTGATCGCTTTTTTTCTCCTTCTTTGTATATCTGCCCTCAATAAAATAATACCAAGAATGTCACAATAAAGGTGAAAACTAGTTCTAGTAATAGTTACAATATCATAAATAAGGCAGATTTTCATTTTTAAGTATTATTTATTGTTAATTAAATAAATGAATCAAAATCATATTATATAAAAATAAGAAAACTTGGGAGAATATTTACCTGATTCTAGATTTGAGAAGGATGTTTTAAATATGAAAGAAACAGAATAAATTACGAAGGCAAGTAAAATAATCTTGGAAATCTTAGTGGAGTTTTTATTACTAATGTATAGAAATATAATTGCTATTTGCATATTGCTCTTGCGTCCTGTAACTCTGCTGATCTCCTTGCTTCTAGTAGACTTTTTATACAAGATCATGTGACTCACCAACACCACAGCAAAAAAAAGACTGTTTTAATAATTTCTCTGCATTCTGGCCGGCATTTATTTTCTCATTCACTTTCCTGATAATGCTGGCTAAAACTTCAAATATGACGATGAATAGAAGTGAGAGCCAAGATATTTGCTTTCTTTCCAATCTTATGACAAAACTATCAGTCATTTACCACTAATATTCTATTATCACGAATTTTTTTAAAAATCTGGTCTGGGTGAGGTGGCTCACGCCTGTAATCCCAGCACTTTGGGAAGCTGAGGCGGGCAGATCACGAGGTCAGGAAATCGAGACCATCCTGGCCAACATGGTAAAACCCCATCTTTACTAAAATACCCAAAAAAAAAAAAAAAAAAAAAAAAAAATTAGCCAGGCGCAGTGGTGCACACCTGGTGGCCTGTAGTCCCAGCTACTCGGGACACTGAGGCAGGAAAATTGCTTGAATCCGGGAGGTGGAGGTTGCAGTGAGCCAAGATTGTGCCACTGCATGCCAGCCTGGTGACAGAGTGAGACTAGGTGTCAAAAAAAAAATCTGTATTAGAATGATGAGTTACCTTTTATTCATAGTTTGCTTAGCATTTTCATCATGAATGTGTGTGGAGTTTTTAAAAACATTTTATTCATCTATTGTGATAATCACACTTCTTTTGGCCTTTACTTTATCAATAGACTATTTGAAGAAAAGTGGCACCAGATGAAAAGTAGGATCTTCAGAAAAGAGTGATTGACACTCAAAATGATAATGTGGATAAATATAATTAAATATCTCTTTTGCTGATTTTTAGTTTTTGATAGTCTATTGAATATTTAAAGCAACAACATAGTAAAATTATATATTCTCTGATATGGTGTTTATAAAATATGTATACAGCTAAATACTATAACTGAAGCACAAAGGAAAGAGTGGTATGCATAATAATACATAATAAACCTATTTGCTTATGCAGGGGCTGTTATACTATACTTGACAGTAGACTGTGAAAATTAATGGTAGTATTGTCATCTCTGTAAGAGCCACTAAAAATACAAAAAACTGACTACAAGTCAAGCAATTAGATAAAATAAAATACTAAATTAAATAATTAAAACAAAATAATTCAGGAAAGAATAAAATAAGTAACAAAGATTGGAGGGGACCAGTACACAACAAAGAGCAAGATTATAGACTTAAAGACTGCCCTAGCAATAGGTTCTGTAAATTAAAAAATGAACTGTATTATACACTCCAATGAAAGGCAATGTCAGCCCAAATAGAAAGCTATGTCTCATTTACAAGAGACACACTATATAAAAAAAGTCACAAACAGGTTGGAAGTAGGTGGATGGTAAGATCTATACCAAGCAAATACAATGCACAAATAAGGCAGAAAGAATAATACTATGAGCCAATACATACTCCAGGACAAATAGCATTTCAAGAGATAAAGAAAATATTGTACAATAATGAGAAAATCAATTTGTAAATAAGAGATAATTGTTATTTATGGTGATGTAACACATAACACAGCTTCAAATACCTTAAGGAATAATTAATAAACCTAAAAACACTACATCTATTTTTATTTATTTATTTATTTGAGATGGAGTCCCGCTTTTTTGCCCAGGCTAGAGTGCAGTGGTGCGATCTCAGCTCACCGCAACCTCCGCCTCCTAGGTTCAAGCGATTCTCCTGCCTCAGCCTCCCAAGTAGGTGGGATTACAGGTGTGTGTCTGAATATCAGGCTAATTTTTTTGTATTTTTAGTAGAGATGGGGTTTCACCATGTTGGCCAGACTAGTCTTGAACTCCTGACCTCAAGTGATTCGCTCACCTTGGCCTGCCAAAGTGTTGGGATTACAGGTGTGAGCCACCGCGCCCGGCCCACTACATCTATTAAATGTTTTTAATTCCAAATCTCTATTCTTATATCTACTTACAAATTGAATTCATAACGAAAAATATTTTCATGAAGACTATTTATAGAAGGAGAATATTTTCCAACTCATTTTTGAGACCACCATTACTTTGATTCTGAAATCAGACAAATGTAATACAAATGTATCTTTATTTATCAATTTATATATCAATTCATCATTTGGTATCTATCTTATAAATGTAAACAGCCATAGAAAATATTAGGAAATTAGCTATAAAAAATACACACCCACTGGTACAGACACACATATATGTTTCAGTGTGGGGCAACACAATATAAACACAATATAAAATTCAGAAGATTTGAGTACATGTCCAAGTTTTCCAAATTACTAGTTTCTGTTATTTTCCATATTGATGAACTGAATATTTGTCATGAGTAAATTGATCATGAATAATAATGATGACATCTCTCTTCCTCAAAGAAAGAGTGGGAGAGAACAGATTTCTATGGACATTATTTGAGCATCTGGACTCAGATATATCTAAGGCAAGAGAGACTTTGTGAACTTTTCAATTATAAAACTTAATATGTTTTCCTTTCAAACAGTCTCTCAATTTTAAAACTGAGGTTCCAGAGTAATACCTAAAATTTTCCTTCGTACTCCAAATTATCATCAACAAATATAACTATTTTCAAAATATGTTTGTAGAAGTAAATCTGATTGAAATATCTACTTTCCACATGATGATTTCTTAAAGATGATTTAAAAAGCATTTTACTTCACTACTTCCTCTACTTCACTCTCTTTCAAGAAATGTGATAAAGCAACACTCATCCAGAGACAAACTTTATTGAAGGTAGGAAAATGTTCATAATTTATAAAAGTAAGTATATTTGTCTTCAACTCCAGCTTTATTTACGTGGAAATAGCAAAGCCACCATTTGAAAGGCAGCAGAAGTTCATGTGTCTGTAATGGGCTATAACTAAGTTTCACATGTAATCATATTCACTTTCTAAAGGAAACTGTCAACTGAAAACAGTGAATCTGTTATATTGCAAATAGATAATTCTTTCTCTATGCTATATAGCGTTTAGATTAATTCTCCCAGATATCCTTTATATAAAATTGAAGAGCATTTTAGGTAGTAATCTAAACTTTTGACATTTTTAAGTATTTAAATATCTAGACAAATTAGAACTTCACGTTCAAATACAGTTTAAAATTTTTCTCAGACCCAGTTTAGACTGAATCATAGTTTGATAACCTGAGCACTTTTGTGGTTAAAAGAGGGTATGGTCATTTTTTTCTCTTAATTTCCACTTATTGTCTTCTCTTTTGCCTTCACAATATCCCAATGAGGTTGATGATAGTGAATAAGATGAACTGAAAGAAAAGGTGGCAGAGGGAATTTTACTTAACTGCTCTGTGAAGTTTTTCTTTAGCTGCTTAATGACTTGCCATTTCTGGCTTCCAAATGGCAGCTCTCTCACAGGGTGCATTTGTAGTTTTATGGTGTACTGTCCGTTCCATTTAAGCTTTCTTCATAGTATTATTTTCTGATGTGTGCTGTGCAAACTTAGGCTGAATTGTGACAACGGCATAGCTCCTTCCTCTCATGGTTTAAACAGAGGGCATCCTGTCTTGTAACTCTCTGGTGCTTCTTATCAGAATTTAGAGGAGAGACTATGCATGCTTGCCTCTGGGGAGAATGGTGCAAGTCTATATTTAATGAAGAACCCCTCTGTCTTTCTAAATGGGGCCACTTTAGATCTTCCTCATTTGATTTTTAGGAGGCTAGGATGCAACACCTTCACCGGAAATGGGATAGAGAAATGTCCTGGAACTCCTGTAAATTATTACCAGAGTCTCTTCTTTGCCTAACCTGTAGCTAGCTGTTATGTAGCCTAGACAGAAATATGGCTAGTGTGTTTATTTGTATTGACTCAAATTATATTGTTCTTCAAAGTAATCAAAGTCACTGACCTACAGTGACTTTAAAGGTAGATGTACATTTGTTTTTATTTCCTCACCTTACAGAAAGTCTGAAGGTGAGAAGTGTACAAGAGTTGCCAGTGGGCACTTTATAAAACTCTTCCAAATGCCTTTAGTTAGAGTTGAGCTAAAATAATCTATTAAATAATCATAAAGTTTCGTGACCTGGTATCATGCAGAGAAACTATTTTCCAAGCTATTTTGTCCAATATATGTTTGAGGTACATGATAAGAATTGAATGCTAGATAATTATCTAATATATGGATAACCTAGTTGTACTGAAGAAAAATTTACGTAGGGAATTTTATTTTAATATGAATGTATAAAAATACAGACTGTAAATATTTAAAAGAATATATAAAATTATCAAGTTATTTATGTATGTCATTAAATCATTTATTTTTCTCCTTCACTCTGACAAGAGAAAAAAGAAATGTCTCTTCGTTGTAAAAATCTAAAGATAGGACACCTTTTTTAAAGAATGGGAATGAAAATAAGAGTGTCAGAGGACATCAAGCTGATAATCCACTTAACTGGATTATTTCTTATATCTTGGTCCTATTTCATTGGATATAGTTGGTTGCTTTCTTTTCATAAAGGCAGTGCTTGTTTTTTTATTTGTACATATATTTGAAGCATAAAGCTTTGTCACCATGTGCTATCCATAACACTTCTCCATAAAATATACAGTTCTTTTTCCGGTTGTGAAATACAAGGTAATGTTATAATACAAAGTTGTATGAAAAACATACTAACCATAGGCTATTTCGTATATAAATGATAATTTTTCTTGTGCTATTACAACTGCCTTTTCTTAATGTTTCCTTAGTTACTGAACAAAAAGTTTTGAAATCCGATTTATGATCCCCTTCATTAAGTTAGCATGTACAGAAAAGAGTAAGTGCAGTGGAGGGTTAAACAATACAGGATGTCACAGACCAGCAGATTCTGTGCTGGAGTTTGTTTGCTTCTTTGCCCTCATATATTAGGAGGGTCCTTAGGATCAATGTCTGTAGAAGAAGAGGAAAAAAGCCAACAGAGACAGAAGTTGAGCTGCAGTGCGGACCTAGCTACAGTCTCTTCTAATTATACAGGAAAATTCTGGAAATGGAATATCCAAATTTGTCCTGGATTGGGATGACATGTCCAGGAATTTCTACCCCTAAACAAAAAGGGGAATGCTCTTGGGCAAAGACATATTTCAAGTGAGATAAACTCTGAAGTGATTGAGAGGTGGAGGCTCTTTGCTGACAGCTTTGTTGTGCCAGCAAGTCCTTTGAAGGAGGATCCCAGCAGTGTATTTCAAAAGTAACTAAATGTATTTTTTGATCGAGTTGGACAGCACATTCTTTTCTCCTGCTTTACACATATTTAAAAACTGAAAATTATTAAAGATGTTTATTTATAGTCTTAGCCCATTTTGTGCTGCTTCAACAAAATACCACAGACTAGATGATTTATAAAGAATGTATCAATAAATTTATTTCTCACAGTTTTGTGGGCTGAGAAGACCAAGGCCCAGGTGTTTCATGAATGTCTTCCTGCTGTGTCCTCAGGAAGGCAGAAGGCAGAAGGGCAAGAACAAGCTACCTGAGCTGCTGCCTGACACCTATTTTATATGGGCCTTAATCCTGTTAACAAGAAACGAGCCCTCACGGCCTAGCTTAGCTACCCCACCAATACTATCACATTGGCAACACTGAGATCAACAAAGCATGGCAAAAACCCCTGACACCATCAACAGCTGGAAGAATGACAAATCCTGGGTCTAAACGGAGAAGGTGAGAAGGTTATGATTGAAAACAGAAGAGGTCCTGTCACCTTGAGCGGAGAATATTGCAAATTCTTCACAGCGACTTGAAAGGGAAGGAACTGTGGGAGGAGGTAAACTGATCTCTCTTTTCTGCTACCCCCATCTCGTTTCAGGGCCTCCAATTTACTGAACTCAACAGAGAACCAGAGGGCAAGGAGCCCAGTGATATTAACTTAAAATCATCTTCCTCAAGCTCAGCCTCGTGGCAAGTAGAACATGAACCTAGAAGAGCAGATGTAGTAGATCCAGCACACATCTTGGTTTTACTGTGAAATTCAAAATTCAGAGTGGATACCAGAACACATAGTCTTTGTGTCCATAAGAAGTGCAGAGCACTTTAGTTTAATTAGATCCCATTTGTCAATTTTGTCTTTTGTTGCCATTGCTTTTGGTGTTTTAGACATGAAGTCCTTGCCCATGCCTATGTCCTGAATGGTAATGCCTAGGTTTTCTTCTAGGGTTTTTATGGTTTTAGGTCTAACGTTTAAGTCTTTAATCCATCTTGAATTGATTTTTGTATAAGGTGTAAGGAAGGGATCCAGTTTCAGCTTTCTACATATGGCTAGCCAGTTTTCCCAGCACCATTTATTAAATAGGGAATCCTTTCCCCATTGCTTGTTTTTCTCAGGTTTGTCAAAGATCAGATAGTTGTAGATATGCGGCGTTATTTCTGAGGGCTCTGTTCTGTTCCATTGATCTATATCTCTGTTTTGCTACCAGTACCATGCTGTTTTGGTTACTGTAGCCTTGTAGTATAGTTTGAAGTCAGGTAGTGTGATGCCTCCAGCTTTGTTCTTTTGGCTTAGGATTGACTTGGCAATGCGGGCTCTTTTTTGGTTCCATATGAACTTTAGTTTTTTCCAATTCTGTGAAGAAAGGCATTGGTAGCTTGATGGGGATGGCATTGAATCTGTAAATTACCTTGGGCAGTATGGCCATTTTCACGATATTGATTCTTCCTACCCATGAGCATGGGATGTTCTTCCATTTGTTTGTATCCTCTTTTATTTTGTTGAGCAGTGGTTTGTAGTTCTCCTTGAAGTGGTCCTTCACATCCCTTGTAAGTTGGATTCCTAGGTATTTTATTCTCTTTGAAGCAATTGTGAATGGGAGTTCACTCATGATTTGGCTCTCTGTTTGTCTGTTGTTGGTGTATAAGAATGCTTGTGATTTTTGCACAGCAAAAGAAACTACCATCAGAGTGAACAGGCAACCTACAAAATGGGAGAAAATTTTCACAACCTACTCATCTGACAAAGGGCTAATATCCAGAATCTACAATGAACTCAAACAAATTTACAAGAAAAAAACAAACAACCCCATCAAAAAGTGGGCGAAGGACATGAGCAGACACTTCTCAAAAGAAGACATTTATGCAGACAAAAAACACATGAAAAAATGCTCATCATCACTGGCCATCAGAGAAATGCAAATCAAAACCACAATGAGATACCATCTCACACCAGTTAGAATGGCAATCATTAAAATGTCAGGAAACAACAGGTGCTGGAGAGAACGTGGAGAAATAGGAACACTTTTACACTGTTGGTGGGACTGTAAACTAGTTCAACCATTGTGGAAGTCAGTGTGGCGATTCCTCAGGGATCTAGAACTGGAAATACCATTTGACCCAGCCATCCCATTACTGGGTATATACCCAAAGGACTATAAATCATGCTGCTATAAAGACACATGCACACATATGTTTATTGCAGCATTATTCACAATAGCAAAGACTTGGAACCAACCCAAATGTCCAACAATGATAGACTGGATTAAGAAAATGTGGCACATATACACCATGGAATACTATGCAGCCATAAAAAATGATGAGTTCATGTCCTTCGTAGGGACATGGATGAAATTGGAAAGCATCATTCTCAGTAAACTATTGCAAGAACAAAAAACCAAACACTGCATATTCTCACTCATAGGTGGGAACTGAACAATGAGATCACATGGACACAGGAAGGGGAATATCACACTCTGGGGACTGTTGAGGGGTGGGGGGAGGGGGGAGGGATAGCTTTGGGAGATATACCTAATGCTAGATGATGAGTTGGTGCAGCACACCAGCATGGCACATGTATACATATGTAACTAACCTGCACAATGTGCACATGTACCCTAAAACTTAAAGTATAATAAAAAAATAAATTTAAAAAAAATAAAAAAAAAGAAGTGCAGAGCATTGAATAATAGACTAAGTAGTCAAGAAATATATTATTCATTAATCTTTAATCATTTGCTAGATAGGATTTCTTGTTTTTATTTTCATACATTTTATGAAACTTGAGAACCAGAGCATTTTCTCAAATATTCAAAGAATGTTCATAGCACCACAGGAAAAGATATTTCCAAAGATTCCCTCTGGCACAGCAGGAAAAAACATGCTTTTGAATATCCCTGTATTTTCTAACCCCATCCATCAGTTTTCTAACTAAATGTCAGTTTTTCCTTCAGAACATAGAATATAAAATAGACGATTTATTAAATGGATAAAAGAATAACTTTCTCAAGTCTCAGGTAATCAAATTAAATACATAGAAAACAATAATGCAGCAACATCAAATCTCTATAAATTAAACATAGTCAAACTAAGAGAGTATACACAACAGCTGGCATTAGATTTAGCAATAAGTTTACATTCAAATAGTTATTTTAAATACAAAAGAAAAAGCCCTGCAACTTAACAGATTACTAATTACTTACTATTATTACTACTGTCTATCATTTCTTCACTTTCTATGTGTCAAAAACTATGCTAAACTATACATATAAGTATAATTATATACTATATAATAACTTTATATTTATTACACTTTGTTTGCTCCTCAGAACCATGTTTTATTTGAAATATCATTATTATGTCTATTGTAGAAGTAAGAAAACTGAAGCATTGGGAGGCTGAGTAAATTGATAATATTCACATATTTATTTAGCATTATGGTTTAAAACAGTCCGGCTGAACAAATGAAATTCACATTACATAAATGATACATAGATAACCAATAACTGGATAAAATTATATATGTTATATGCATATATAATATGCATATATATATACATATAAAACCAATAATTGTAAGCACATTCATTCTCACTCACTGCCACAGAAACTCAAATTGTATTACCATAGACACTTTGTTTCTGTCATGAGACACCTAGTGTATTTTGCTAAGAACTTGGCAAAATAATTATTTGTATGAGTGAGTAGGGCAAGAACTTTTACATTGTCTGGGTGACTTTCTCAATCTCTTATAATTTACATCATATACTACGTTTTCTTAATGTGCCTTAATTTACTGAATTACCCTGCATCCTGCAGTTTTAAGAGGTTAATACTATCCTAGTATTTGATATTCAATTTGTTGTAAACTACATATTACACTCACTGAAGTAGAAAAATAAACAAACAAATAAATACATTCTAGTCATTTGTATTTTGAGCTTTAAAATAATCGGTAACACCAATGGTGGCAAACATCTTACTGCCTATTTGGAAGGGCCAATTTTATATCTGAAGGACATCAGCATTATGGACCGTAGCAACTTATGGCTTTCCTATGAAAGACATTTCTATATATCACTTTTCTTTCGAATGTTTTATCTCAATTTGATAATTCAAACATTGTGTCTAATTCATATATCTAGTATCAGTTTCTTTATAAATTACTTTCAAGAGGTTTTTTTTTCCATATATGACTTGTGGTAGGCTTGAGTATGCAATAGAGTGCACATTAATTCATTCACCAACTTTACTTTTAGTATGGGACTTTTTTAGTCTAGAAGAGGGTGAAAAACTAGGCATGACATCTGCTGTTGGAGATTACATTCTTAACAGCAAACCTAGCAAATAAATATAAAGTATTAACTCTGATAATTGTTGTAAAGGTGTGGTGCTATGAGATCAGATAATACTGGGAATTAATTAACCTAGTAAGTGTGGCCAGTGAAGACTCCTCTTTTACTGGTGACTTCGCTGAGATCATTTTTCATTTTCTAAACTCAGTTTAACTTCTCCTCCTATAATATGGCCAGAATGGTGGGGATTTCAATTTGCTAGGGCTAAAAAGCCCTGACTTCTTGAATTTATTCTTCAGTGTACAACAACCCCCAACTCTTCCATGTAAGATTTTGCTACTGTCGCCACTTACTGGGACATAGGCAAGGGTTTTTGCTTCTATTCAGATCCTAAATCCTGTCATTCCCTATATTGATGGAAAATTTTCCAATCTTGAGGGAAGCTGTTTCACATTCTGATGATTTTGGTCACCCTTTTTTTAGTCTTCAAGACCTAGAATCACTTTCTTATTACAAAAAAAGTAAGTTTTTCCTAAATTCTTTGGTTTTTTCACCTAAAGACACCTAATTCTACATTAAGGACGAGGGATGCGCCAGTTGTCATGCATAACACCAAGCTTTTCCTTTGAAATAAGTGGAGGAGCCACGTAAGAAGCTAAAACCAGTTTGACTCTTAATTCTTTTCACATTTTCCTTCTAATTATCTGAAGCAGTGCGAATGAAACATAAAGGGGCATTTCAATGAATAATCTTGCCAAAGACTCAGTCAATGCTAATTCTAATCATATATTTCAATGCCTAGCATGTGTTAAAATGGAATGACAGCAATTGAACCAAACCTTGGCTACCATGATGAATAAAACACAAGATTCTCTGTGGAGATAGAGCTTACATATGAGTGGTAAAAATATTTTGATCCTTTTAGAAGCTGACTGAAAGCAGAAAACAGTTCCCCCTCACGTTGTTTATTAGGAATATGAAGTAGCATAATGGTTACATACTTTTCAAGTATATTTTTTAAAAGTCAATGACTTGCCTGCAACAAAATTAGAAGTTAGCTTTTGTTTAAGTGATTTAAAATTTCATGTATTTAACTTCTAATTGACTTTTTGCTAGTTTCCCTTTGTTATTCAAACTATTAATTGCCTGCCTCTCCGATTTAGTTGTTTCCAAATAGTCCTCTCTTTTAATGTTTTGTTTTTTAATTGGTTTCTTAATTCTCGTAAGATTTTAGGAGTGTTGGTTTTAGTTACATGTATATTCATGAAGGAGCAGAGCAAGCTCGCTATGAAAACGTACTCGAATTTTAATGTTAAAAATCCAAATATTTCTGATCTATTTTAAACTTTTATTTTCCTTCAACCTCACATATCTCTGTTTTCATATGCATGTAAATTCCCTCCTCATTTTTCTTTTCCATTTTTTGAAATTGATAAATTGTATTATTCACAACTTTACCTGGAAAGATATAAATTTATGAAATTCTTCTCATTCATTGCCTATACAATCCTTCCCTATATAGAACCAGAACAGCCAATCTGTCGAAAAGTGTAGTCAAACAAGGTCAGTGAGTATATCAAGGTCAGTGAGCATAATTCCTTTTAGGATGAGCATGGAATATCAAGTAATCAATCTGACTTTTATGTGAAGAAGGTCTGTGGTTTGAATTGACTGCGTGTACCAAAGAACTAAAGATAGTTTGAAATTTATGAGGCAGTAAGCTACCTATAAGAGCCTAGATGAATCTAGACAACTCGAGCTCAAACATAGGTAGAGGTAAAGGTTATGGTGAACTAATAAAATGTTTTTGTGTATTAAACACACCATTTTTAAAGACAAATAATTTCTATTTTTACCATAATAAGTTTTTTTTTTAATTTACAATAGCTTATTTGCTTGTCTATCTCCTATTAGACATGAACTCTCTAAGGACAGAAACTATATTTTAATTTTATCATCTTTTTAACACCAATATGTTACACATTACCTGTTACATTGTAGGTTTTCATTATATCTTGATAAATCAAGGGATACTGTGTCCAGAATTGGTGGGTTCTTGGTCTTGCTGACTTCAAGAATGAAGCAGCAGACCCTCGTGGTGAGGGTTACAGTTCTTAAAGTTGGTGTGTCCGGAGTTTGTTCCTTCTGTTGGGTTCGTGATCTCACTGACTCCAGGAGTGAAGCTGCAGACCTTTGTGGTGAGTGTTACGATTCTTAAAGGCGGTGAGTCTGGAGTTGTTTCTTCCTCCCTTCCGGATGTTCCTCCCTTCCAGATGTTCCAACCTCCCAGTGGGTTTGTAGTCTAGCTGGCCTCAGGAGTGAAGCTACAGACCTTAGCGGTTAGTGTTACAGCTACAAAGGTGGCACAGACCCAAAGAGTGAGCAGCAACAAGATTTACTGGGAAGAGGGAAAGAACAAAGTTACCACTGCATTAAAGAGGACCCCAGCAGGTTGCCCCTGCTGGCTGGGGCGGCCTGTTTTTATTCCCTTATCTGGCCCCACCCACATCCTACTGATTGGTCCATTTTACAGAGAGCTAATTGGTCCGTTTTACAGAAAGCTGATTGGTCTGTCTTGACAGAGCACTGAATGGTGCGTTTACAAACCTTTAGCTAGACACAGAGCGCTGATTGGTGCATTTACAATCCTTTAGCTAGACACAAAAGTTCTCCAAGTCCCCTACCCGATTAGCTAGAGACAGAGTGCTGATTGGTGCATTTACAAACCTTTGGTTAGACACAGAGTGCTGATTGGTGCATTTACAAACCTTTAGCTAGACACAAAAGTTCTCCAGGTCCCCACCAGACCCAGAAACCCAGCCGGCTTCGCCTGTCAATGGCACTCGCCATGGGACTTTGTGGCACCTAGCCAGGCCACTCCAGCAGCCCAGAGGGAGATCGTCCCCCCATCAAGCCCAGCAGGCGCTGGCTGGCAGCTCCTAGTGCTGGCCCTCGGAGCCTGCGCCCACCCCGAAGCTGCACCGGTGTAGGAGCGGGGCGCACAGCCCCTGCTCCCGCCCGCGCCTTTCCCTCCACACCTCTCGGAGAGCAGAGGGGAGCCGGCTCCGGCCTCGGCCAGCTCCAGAGAGGGGCCCCTACAGCACAGTGGTGGGCTGAAGGGCTCCTCGAGAGCGGACGCCAAGGCAGAGGAGGCGCCGAGAGCGAGCAAGGGCTGCTAGCACGTTGTCACCTCTCAATACTACTATGATAGACTAACTGCCACTGGATGTAAACAAATAAAAATGTCATTTGTAGGTGATTTGAAGTAAAATTTAAAAAATGGACTTACAGTAAGTTTTTCAGAAAGATAAATCAAAGTATCTTCATGCTGTAGCTTTTTGTAATCCAGTTTTTGTAAATCACACAAAAAGTGTGGTTTCTGGATTACACAAATTTTACAGGGTAGTGTCATTGACACAAGCAAATGGACAAGCCTTCTCTACTTCTCCACCAAAATTCGTCTCACCTGCCTATTGTTGATTACTAGTGACATTTCCATCCTGGAGAATAGAGTTAGAGGACGATCCACCATTGAAATTTTCATTTCCCATGAAAGTACATGAGGCATGTGTCCCTTAAATACAGAACACGTAGAACAAAATTAATTTATTCTGCTACGTAAGTACTATGCTTTTTTTACATTCAGTGTAATTTAAAATACATATACATTGACATGTTTTGGACTGAAAAAGCAAAATACACACTATAGAAGGGACTAGAATGGCATGTAGGTATTATTTTAGAAACAAGTGTTCACAATTCTAGAGAGGGGCCGTCTTAGTCCGGTTGAATGCTTCAGGTGCCAAGGGAAGGCTTTAGTTTGTCCTTGTCTTCAGCTGGAGAGGTGTGAACTGCAGAAGAGGAGAAAGTTATATCCAAAACATGATAGGAATAGCAAAGTTAATATCGATAAAAAACACTTCTTTTCTAATCCCAATACAAAGAATTCACAATGACTTTGTACCTCACTTCTGTTAGAGAAACACCTATCCCAGTAGTATCAATTTCAAGAGGTCTAAACCAGAATACAGCTCTTGTTCTGTCAGTGGAAGGAAAGACTCACAAAAGTAATAGGAATCAAATGGCCTGCTTCTGCAGAGCTCATCCTACTTTGGGCAAGATAACAAGGAGAATGCTGACATCTGTGATGAAAGTGCCATGAACAAAGGTTTTCATGTGTGTGATTTATGGTAGCTGAGACTGTTATGGTGCTTGCCCTTATTCAGTCACACAACTGAAATTGGAAAGCCTTATTTTTGTATTAATGTTTTTGTAGGCAAAAAGAGTCTGAGAAAGCATATATAAAGCTATCAACTTACATAAGGGAGTTTTTTTAGTTAAGAGATGAGTGGGAACTTCATATGAAAATATTAAGATTTATATCAAATGTGAGGGGAAATATACACACTCCTTGTGGCTCAGTCATTTCTTAAATGAGTTCTTTGGGGAGCCAGCCTGGTTGCAGGAATGAATCATTCTGTTTGTTTTTTTCTGTGTGGTAACAGGAGCTTGTTCCTGTTGGCAAAGGCCTATAGTGGTTCAGTTGTGCAAGTGATGGGGATGAAGAGGTGAGGAATATAGAAGCGGAGGAAGTAAACCTCTATAATTCTTTTAGTTTGTTAACAGGAAGCCTGTTGTGGACACAGGTTTAAGCCATATCCTACTGATAAGTGATTATCAGAAATACAATTGATATTTTTTATGTCTGTCTGCCTTTTTCTGTGTCTATCTCTCTTGTTTGAGGACTCAAGAGGAGGGCTATTCATAGGTTTCCTAAGGTCTTGGTATAAGTACAAGGGGAAATATGAAGTTTAACATGCCACATGAACTTGTAATTTGTATGAGTCTTTAAATGAGGCAAAGTACCAAATAACTATGGTAACACTTATACCTGTTTCTTATACCAGGGTAAGGAACCATGGGCATCAGAAATACCACTTTGAGGGTGTCAGACAAAAAGATATAATATGATCATTAAAATAATGTGAGGACATTGAAACCTCGGTGAAACATGGTCATTTTAAAGATAATACAGTGATCTATTTTCTAATCATATTTCTATCTACTAAACATTGTTAAAATATTTTATTTTGTGACTCCCTTTTACTATCACCAAGATATTTATAACAATCATCAATGACAAATGAACACATAGTGCTTCTTTAAAAAGCAAATATTAGCTGAAGAAAAACAATGTGTGAGTAAATTTTGACAATTGGTTGTTGATATGAGAATCAAGTATGTGTTACTATATGTATCATCATGCTTTGTAACATATAAACACAGAGTAGTTTGTTGGCAAAAATAAGCCAATACAGCACATTCTCATCAATGTATCATGCTTTGCATTTTCCTTGACATTCAATGCAAAGTTGGAAGTAAGCTTCTTTTAAAACAACTTTGCCTCTTTACATTAAAAATACTTTTTTAAATGGGTATATTAAATTTATTATAATAATAAAAATATAGAGTAGTGTCAAATATTTAATTTAATATAGAGATATAACAGATGTGCATATAGGGATGATAATCTACAGTTTTTTTTTGTTTGGTATAAAGTATAAGTGTTTTCAAAATGTTATTTTATATGCATCTTATATCTCACTTTTTACAATTTTAGCTTTTTTCTACTCTCCAAATTTCTTCTCAATAGAAATGAGAAAATTTTTTTCCTAATTAATGTATTCGTTAAAAATGAAATTATCTCCACATGTAACATTTCCATTATTAAAGTATAGTTTGTACTTTCTCTTTGTTCCCCCATCCCCAGCACATTGCCTAAGATATCATCAGAATCACTGTTTCTTGTGGCATAGTTTTGTGCAGTGACATCGATCCAGAGATTGGATTTTTGACCTCCTCACTTTTATGTCATCGCTTCATATTTGGAGGATATGCTTGTTTAATGTAAATGTGTTCAAGATGAAAATAGAGTTAAGAAAATTTTACTTTTATATTAATATAGAGACATAATTAGAGCTTTCAGGTCCACAACTGGCAAAAGAGGTAAACAAAATATAATATGATTCTCATTGAATCATTCCAAAGAGGACATTAACAAGAGCACATGAAAATTCTGAAAGACACTATCCCAAGGCTATATCCTGAAGGTTGAAATCCAGAAAGAGCAAAATCCCCAAAAATATAATTCTGGAAAAATAATTTAAAAATTTAAAAGGATGTTTATTCGCATTTCTAAAGAGGGAATTTATTTGGGAAACATATAAAAACATGATAGCGTGGGTGTGGTGGCTCACGCTTGTAATCCTAGCACTGTGGGAGGCTGAGGCAGGTGGATCCACCTAAGGTCGGGAGTTTGAGACAGCTGGACCAACATGGAGAAACCCTGTCTCTACTAAAAATACAAAATTAGCTGGGCGTGGTGGCACATGCTTGTAATCTCAGCTACTCAGGAGGCTGAGGCAGGAGAATCCCTTGAACCCAGGAAGTGGAGGTTGTGGTGAGCCGAGATCGCCCCACTGCACTCCAGCCTGGGCAACAAGAATGAAATTCTGTTTCAAAAAAAAAAAAGAAAAAAAAAAGAGACGGAAAACTTCATAGATCACTTACAAAATAAAATAGGCACTAATACCATACATATTATTGCAAGCATGAACAAACACTCCAGTACACTAATGACAGTTGCATGGGTATAATAGCTATGAACAGATGAACTATATTCATAACACAAGAAGTCAAAAAGAGAAATGTATAAACACATATCAGTATGGCTGGTAATTGCATGCACCCAGCTTTATAACTGCAATCATCTGCAAAACCGTGATGAATGATCTGTCATTTGATGAGATCAGTTAAAATTTGTGGTGGGTGACCAACGTTATATGAAGTCACCTGAAGAGACGAGACTCAGGACATTTATTTCCTTTTTCAAAAATGAAGATGTAGAAAAAGGACATCTCTTCATTTATTGAAAAAGTTTCAACATTTTTACGCATGCACACAATGCTTACACACAAAGTCAACCTTGTGATAATGCATTTTCACGGAGTCAAATTTGCCAAAAAAAATGCACAAAACAAAACTCTCAAGAAGTCTCCACACAATTTGTATCTCCATTATTGAAAATGATGCAAAAATGACATACATGATGACAATTTTGACAAAAAAAAGGAAAAGAAGAAAGAAACCAACTAAAACGTAAATTTGATATGAAAAAGTGTATTACAGGGATAGATTATAGGCAACTGCACAGAGATAGTCCATAAGAGCTGGTCAACTTTCACAATCATTGACTACATTTTGAAGTCTGGCATCACAATGAATAGCTACATTTTTTTTTTTTTCATTTAGGACATGGCTCTCCTCAGAGAATATGTTCACACTCACTTTTTACATGATGCTGACCTTTTAAAAATTATTCTGTAATTTCACAGACATTGACATCAGTATTTCCTATTAAATTTTCCTATCCGTTTTTTCTTTAACCATTTTTATGTTGTTTTGGGTACACAGTAACCCATTCCACATGCATTTATATGCAGGGCATAGATTTGGTGGAAACAACACTGGTGATCAAACAGGAAGACTGTTGAGTAAGTGCCTTTTAAAACTACCATGCAAATAATTATTTTCGAACCTGTCAGTAACTTCACTGGCTTCTTCGGGTAAATTTGGCTTTAATTCTTTAAAAGCTCCTTGAATGTCATCAGCTGGAAGGAATGCCAATGCAGGAAAATGATACATTTTTAAATGAAAGTTTTCATCTTAAAATGGAAGTTTTGCCATTTTTTGTGACTAATCCACTCGCCTGAGTTTTCTGAGAATGAAAATAAAGGTAATAGCAATGTAATCATTCTACCTAACATGATGCAACTAACATGATTTAATTATCCTGCATACAACCAAAAACGCACTAATACCGTCCCCAGGATTAGGCTTTCAGGGTTTCAGCATTTGGGGTTTTAATCTTTGGTGATTGCGACTTTTGGAATTTTAGTCATTTAGGATCTCGACATTTTGGGATTTAGACTTTAAGAATTTTGATTCTGAGGGATGTAACATTCAGAATTACGACATTTGGGATTGTGTCTCTCAGGATTTTGATCTAAACCCCACATTAATGTAGCTATTAGCCTGAATTTCATGAGTCCTTGTCTTTATTCATTTTCTCATCTCTAAAATGACTGGTTATAAACATTTATCTTTCTCGCTGTCGCTCTCTCGCTATCTCTGCCAGCTAACATCTTTAAAACACCCTTCTCATGTTAATAGGTCAGGCTGCCAAGGCTGATTCCGTAAACTCACTCCAGAATCATTTGCTTCTAGGAAACAGACATGTGTTATAGGCTCTGTCAAATAGATATGTGCATGAAAGATTTCATTATAAAAAGAAAACTATGGGAAATAAAACCTAATCTAATCTAGAAACTCATTTTACAGCAAAATAAATAGAGCAGTCAGCTAATGTTTACAGATTCACTAGTCTTCTCATTTTCCCCAAACTCTTCGAAGTTCATACCCCTGTGAGAAACAACCTAGAGGGCCTGGAGCAAATGTTCTGTATCAATAAAAGTCTATGGTGATTTGTTAAGAGGTATAATATGTACTCTTGGAAAATAAGGGTTAGAAGTATAAATTGTACTTCTTATTACAACTCTTGACTCATGCATAGATTACTTTTGTTCTTCACTGGGACACCCTGAGCTATACACTATAACAATCTTTGAACACAAAGAAGGAATGATTACAACAGGTTGATTTAACTGAATTATAAAAATTCAACTAAGCCAATTCAGGTTCCTCACATAATTGAACAAATGGGGGGAAAAGACCAAAGGAGAGGGGTATAGTGTGTTAATTGTTTGATAATACTTGTTATCACCCGGAAATATGGCATAAATGTTGGTGATTAAGAAAAACGTGCTCAGAAAGTGTATATTGACTTCCAGGGACAGACACACACACATACACACACACACATGCTTAAAAGTGGATCAACTAAGAGCTAATTTTTTTTAAAGAATAAAGGGCTAGGTCACACCATCAGTAATAGAATCCATACTAAAGTGTGCAGTTTGAGAGGGAAGAAAATGAAGCACAGAACATATAATAAAGAATGCCTGTAACAAGTTGCAGAAACAAGAATTATGCATCTACCCATAATTTTCTTTCTTTGTTAAGTATTTAATTCATTTATTTAATAGATTCCCACTTTTCCCACTTTACTATATAGGTCTATTAGTGGTTACTCTTGTTTATAAATTAGAGACTGAATAAGTGGTGTTTAGACATGACAGACCAAGGAATATGCAGGACCCCTGACTTGACTCTGGACAGAGTAGCTAATCAGACTGAATTGTTATCCTTTGGGGATAGAGTAAGCATGCGTTTCTTGAACAAAGGATAGCCTCACTACTTTGCAGAAACATATTGTTACTGCTTGACGTTTAAGTAGGTTATAGTTATTCATTCAAAAATTAGTTTTTAAATACCACTGTGCCTGGATATACTATATGATATGATGTATCTTGAATTATGCTAATAGCTATTTCAGATATGAATGAGCATGGTGACTTTATTCAAGTTGTAGAAAATGACTTCTATTATTTTATAATATAGAATACATAGTTATATTTTAAATATCGCCTTTTCTAACCCTATCTACTTTGCACTTTATACAATACTTTTAGTAAGTAATTGTTTTATAATAGTTTGATTATAATCTTTCCCAGTACCATTTTTCAAAGCTTCCTTAGTTTAAAAAAATGGAGAAAACCAAGATATCAAATTTGGGCAGGTTTATTATTTGAAAATAAACTATATTTTCTAAGTTTAAAAAAAGAGAAAATAGCCTAAGGAGAAGGTAGATTCTCAGATAAACCACAGATGTTATTTATGATATTAAAACATAATTGTGCTATATTTATCATATTACTTTTAAGTATATGTAACTATTATATATGAATATATAACATATATGAACAAACTATTATATATATAAATATTGTATATATGCATGGGTTTACATATAAAAATAAATTTGAAATTCAAATCAGGCATGTTTCTTCCTGACACCAGCATTAAGATATTCAGTATCTTTGGTATGTCTGTGTAATATATCAGATATACATACAAACAATGTAAATATATTCATTTTTCATTTTTATATTCTGTGTTTTCATATTAGAATAGATTTGTTCATACAGTATCTCGGAATATTGGGATAGGAGCTCCAGAAGCAGGACCATTTGTTTGTATATGTTTCTTATGGCTAGCATTCATCAATTAGGACTCTTTAGTGACAATCGACTTAGCAACAATTAATATATCTTACATTTGAGGTGAGTTGAGATATATATCTATATATGCAATATGACTTTCCAAAAAGCCTTTATACTATTAAAGCCTTTAAAACTTGTTAAATATGTGATACATCTTTTGATTAAAAAAACACTTACCTTTGTTTTATTCACTCTTGTTTGAAATCCTTTTAACTCACCAATGCTCACTTTTTCTGTTTGAATTTTCCCATCAAGAATTTACCCTGAATACATTGTGAGAATAAAGCAGATTTAATGTCATCCGTATGTTTCAGTAATCACAGGATCATAGGATTAGTAAATCAAAGGTTTAAAAATGAACCAGACAGTCTTCTATATTTATGCCCCAAATCAACCCATTTAAGGATATGAATGCCAATATTTTACTCTTCTTTATTTGTTCACTTTAATAGGGCTTAATATTAGAGAACTGTGTAGAAATCTACTAGCTATTTTTTATTGAATACTCACTGGTATTTCACAAACTGAGCAGATCATGTCTGCTTTTGCCTGTACCCATGGTGTTGGAACAGGAGTTTAACTAAGAGACCAGTGCCAGTTTTGTACCAGTCAGCTTGCTAAGTTGCATATGTCTGAATTGTACTGCTAGGACAATTTTGAATATTCAAGCTGTAAACCCTTAAGGCAGGGATTATTTCCACGGGAAATTCCACTGTACAGTATGCTTTATCAGCACATAATAATTAGTATCAGAATGTTCCAAAATGCAAGCCAATTTGGCTTTTGCACATTGTATATGAGAAAACAAATATACCCCAATGCATTTGTTCATTCATCATCTTTTAAAGGAAAGCTGTTTAAAGCACATTTTATTGTCTGATGTAAATTCTGGTGTGACACAGGACTTTGTTATAAACTGACCTGAGATTAACTCTTATTTTTAATTTGCCTCAGAGTAGACTGTCGTATCCAAAAAACCATTTAGGAAAGAAAAAAGAGAGCTGACTAATTACTGGCTAATACTTGCTTATTCTTATCACACATGTGTGAATCCAGAGTTCTTGAGAGATAGCCAATTATGACACATTTTCAAATCTGTGAAATATGACAAATGATATTACTTGCAAATCTAAAAAAAATGTGGTTCAGCCTTAATGCAATATGTGCTATATCAATGCCTTTATGTTTTAATGTAGCTTTGTAATGAGGTCATTGCAAAAGCAAGTGAAAGTAAGTACTTATTAACCTCTTCTTGGAAATGGCTTTTAGAAACACTCTTATTATTGAACTGTTGTTATTAGTTTCAAAGAACTAAACAGCAGTGTATAGACAGAGAAGGATAGGAGAATCTCATTTACAAGAGGCAAAGAAACCTAAAAGCCTAGTCCATACCGTGTTGGTAGTTTTAGTTCACTTATGTGTTTCTAAGTTTCTTTCCCTCATTTAAGCAGACACTGTATACCAATGAGAGACAACAGTAAAGTTTCAACAGGCAGAGGTTTGCTTTCTTCTCTTAACTTTTATCCTGAAGTCACAATTTTTCTGTTATTTCTTAAATAGCTAACCTCTCTTAATGCCTACTCTTTCATTTCCCTGTTGTGGATGGCTAGAAACAGGTAAGAGTAAAGTGGTGCAAGAGAATATCTCACTTCTACTCAATAATCAAATTTTCAATTCTCAATTAGTATTGTCAAGTTTCTGGAATTCAAAAAAATAGTAGATTAATAGATGGTATTAAATACTAAGTTCCAAAAACTTTAATATCTTTCCATAACATTGTTTTTAACCTCTTCTATTCACCTCACTTGTCTCAGACAATGAGATAAGTCTAAGCAAATTAATGAGCACACCTAAGAAGTGTCTTTACAAATTGATTTTGTGCATGGCCCATGAATATTCTCCTGTAATTGTGTGGGTCTATTCAATATAGCAACACTCATTGCTGGAAAACTAAGTAGTTAAAGCAGCTACCATAGAATCTAGATTTTTATATCCCATGATACTCACTCCTGTGTCAACATTATTTGGCCATATTGTGTCACCTTATTTAGGAGAATGGGTAAAGGAAATAAGTGTGTGATTCTTACTTGAGGAGAGAAATCCCAATCTACCCAGATATGTCATTTATATCTTTGAAAGAATATGGTTGTTTGTTGTTGTTGTTGTTGTTGTGGTTTTGTTTTTTGAGACAGAGTTTCACTCTTGTTGCCCAGGCTGGAGTGCAGTGGTGTGATCTCAGCACACTGCAACCTCTGCCTCCCAGGTTCAAGTGATTCTCCTGCCTCAGCCTCCCGAGTAGATGGGACTACAGGCACGAGCCACCACGCCCAGCTAATTTTTGTATTTTTAGTAGAGATGAGGTTTCACCACAATGGCCAGGATGTTCTAGATCTCCTGACCTTGTGATCCACCCGCGTTGGCCTTCCAAAGTACTGGGATTATAGGTGAATATAGTTGTCTTAATTCATGTTTTTAATATTCCTTTTTAATCATTAACATAATATTCATATAATATATATTTTATATCCCTTACACAGTGCTAGTGATATTGGGAACCTATTAAAATGTTTAAAATGGAAATGTATGAAAATGACACTATAGTTAAAATTTAGTTTTACAAATGAGAAGGGGAAATGATATTAACTTGTACTATCTTTTCAGAAACTCTCAGAATTTCATGTTTACTTGAGCTGAATAAAAAACATAGTATTTACGTTAATGTGGATTGATCTTTTATTCCATGTAGCCAGATAGCTTCTTCTGCCATGTACACAAAATTTCTTCAAACCCACATCTGACCCTTTCTCCTCTTTTGCCTCAATAGGATTGGAAAAGATTCTTTGAGCCTACTGCTCCCACTCTATATTCATCCCAGCAAAATGTGGTGTTTCAGAGCCAGAGACAGGGACCATGCCAGCTGAGTCTCAACCACTGAATCAAACCAGCTGATAGGATACATTTGAGAAATAAAGGTAAAATATCAAATTGATTCTAAACATGCATAATAGATGCTATTAAAATATTTTAATTTAGTAAAACAGTTTGCATTTTTTTTTCATTTCAAATGTCTAGTTATCTTGGCATTATATAGGTACCAAAGTACCTCATGGAGAAAAGCACAAAATATATATTATTTTTCGGGAACTTCAACTTAGATATAGCCTTTATTTATTCTTATAAAATAGTATTTTTTAACTTAAGAAATATATCAACATGCATAAACATTGCCATCAGAAAGGTAACCATCCGATTGATGACCTGTAGCATTCATAAAAATGAACAATGAAACAGCTTATAAAAAATGAGCCATTTGCCTATGGTGATATGGTAAGAATGAAGAAACATTTTAAAGGATACAGATTATAAGAGTAATCATGTTTTCATGGAGTAAAACATTCATCTTAAAACTTCATAACATTTATGGATGAAAGATATGAGTAACTGTAACACTGACAAGTTTCAAAGCCAATTTAATGATTGGGATACAAAATAAGGAATAAAAGCTGTGGAATTTGGTAGGTGTATAATTTGGATCCAACACTATGGCCAAACATTTTAGAAGTTAGCGAAAATTTGTGCAGTAAAAAGTATGAGACCAGACCCTGTTCTCACTACCATCAAATTCAAACACATTTTATGTTTTACTTTTGGGCCATTCCACTTAAGTCCATCTGCTTAAAATTTCTAAAAGATTTTGTATAATGCGTCATGCTCTTTTGTGTTCCTACTACATCTTTATCTTTCTTCCTCTTGCATTTAATGAGACACAATTATGTTTGGTCCAATATTTTCAAGAAAAGTGGGCTCCTCCCCTAAACTCCAGATGAGCCATTTCCAAATTAATTAAAGGATGTTTAGGGCCAGGCGCAGTGGCTCACGCCTGTAATCCCAAAACTTTGGGATTGTCCATTGTATCTATTTTTTTTTGTGTTGCTACTTGTACATTAAAAGCCATTTCCTAATCCAAGATCACAAAGATTTATGCCTATGTTTTCTCCTAAGAGATTTATATTCTTAGCCTTTACATTTAGGCCTTTGATAAATTTCTATTTAAATTTTGTATATCTTATGGTGTAGAGATTCATTATTTGGCATGTGAATACCCAACTGCACCAACAACATTTGCTGAAAAGCCTATTCTTATCCCATTTAATTCTCTTGGAACATTTGTCAAAATCAATTGACTACAGTTATTAGAGTTTACTTCTCAACTCTCAATTATATCCCATTGATCAGTATGGCTGTCTTTATGACAGTGCCCCACTGTATGGGTTACTGTAGCTTTGTATTGAGTTTTGAAATTAAGAAGTGTGAGTCCTGCAACTATTTCTTATTTTTCAAGATTGTGTTGCTTATTCTAGGGCATCTTGCACTTCTATATGAATTTTAAAGTAAAATTAGTGATTTCTACAAATAAAGCGTGGAATTTTGATAAAGATAGCATTAATTTGTAGGTTGATTTACAAAGAATTGCTATCTTAAAAACATTAAATCTCTCTCCCATGAACATGAGATGTATTTTGATTAATTTATATATTCTTCAGTTTCTTTCAAAGTTTTGTGGTTTTAAGTGTATATGTCTTGCAATTATTCTGTTAAATTTATTCCAAAATATTTTATTCATATTTATACAATAAGTGTGTGTGCTTCTTGATTTCTTAAGATTTTAAAAATATAGGGCTATGTAACTGCAAACAAATATAGTTTTATTCATTTGTCCAGTCTAAATGTCATTGATTCTATTCCTGGCTAATTGCCTTGGATAGAACCACCAGTACTATGTTAAATGAAATGGTGAGAGTAGACATTCTTGTCTTTTTATCTTGTGAAAAAAAGCTTTTTTTTTCACCATTTTTTGCAAGGAGTGGTTAACTAGCATAATTCTTTGTGTTATTTTTATCTTTATTCTGACCCTTAAAAGATGTTAAGAAAGCATAAGAAAAATATGAGATCCCTTGCATGTCAGAGAGTGTATTTTTTATAGGTCACAATTTCAATTGATAACATAATTTGCTATTACATTCTATGTCAAAATTAATATTTTCAGAATGTCTGGTGTTTTCTACAGTCTAATATTGTTGAGAAAATATACACTACAGGCCGGGCACAGTGGCTCATGCCTGTAATCCCAACACTTTGGGAGGCCAAGGCAGGTGAATCATGAAGTCAGGAGATTGAGACCATCCTGGCTAACACGGTGAAACCCTTTCTCCACTAAAAATACAAAAAATTAGCCGGGTTTGGTGGTGGGCGCCTGTAGTCCCAGCTACTCTGGAGGCTGAGGCAGGAGAATGGCATGAACCTGGGAGGCGGAGCTGGCAGTGAGCTGAGATTGCACCACTGCACTCCAGCCTGGGCAACACAGCAAGACTCCATCTCAAAAAAAAAAAAAAAAAAAAAAAAGAAAATATACACTACAAGTAAAATTCTTATTTATTTGTAGAATAGCTACTATTACTCTTTAGAAGCCTTTAGAAATTAAAAAAAAAGAATTGCAATTTTTCCAGAACTGAAAGAAGGAAAATACTTTTAAAGCTAATGGACACAATAAGGTGCCCATTAATGAAAAAATAAAATATGAGTATAATCAACCATGTTTCATATACAGAAATATATATGACAAAATAATTATATGTGATATATATATGTTTAATAGCTTTTATCATATATGTGTGTATAGAGTATGCGCTCATATCACACACACTCATAGGCACACATATTTATATATGGAGAGAGAGGAGTGAGAGAAAAGGAGATGGAGTTTGGGGAGGAGAAAAGAGAGAAAGGAGACTGACAGATATATGAGAAAAAGTACATAAGGTTACAATCTATGTTGCTATCTTAAATTAGCTGAGGACCATGATATGTGAATTGAGAGGATAGAGTAAATGGAAAACAAATTCAAAGAAAGTAGAGATTTAACATGAAAAATAAAATTGGAGACATAGTCACGAGTCTGATCATAAATGTTTTTAAATGCCATGAAAATACTTTTTTTAGGCCATCAAAATATTTTTAATGAACTGTGGAAATTCACTGAAAGATGTCAATATGGGAGTAACACATTTGGATGTGTTCCCAGAGTGGATGACACAGAGTACCAAGGGGTTAGTAACAAAATGCAATGAGAACAGAAAGAATGTGAGAGATCATGGTTTGGGCTGAAATTTTTGTGGGCAAAAAATAAATGAAGAGAGTGAATCTATTTCATATAGAAGAAGGGGCATAGACTGGACATGGGATATACTGAGCCTAGTGAACAAATGAAGGTGGTAACAGAACTGCCTTCAGGTTTTTAGCATGTGACACTTGGAATAGACAGGATGAACACAAAAATAATCACTTACAAGTTTGAGGCAGGAGAAATAGGGTAGGAGATGTGAGAAGAAACTGCAAATGAAAAGTTATTGACAACCTAAATTTGAATTAGCTGTTAGAAATTCAAATTTTAGAAGTTATATACAGGGGTTAGGTATAACGGGAGAATTATTTCCTGAAAATAGTGACATCTAAATTGAGAGATAAAGAATATAGGAGTTAGTAAAACCAAATTACTCTTTAACTTAACATTCTAGACTCTTTTGTAAACAGTTCCTGCTCATGATTTAAGGCTTGTCTCCAAATAATCATCTTTCTAATCGCTTTGTTCTATCAATATTGATGTATTCATTCTTTTTCTCGGAATGATTGTTATGTGCTACATCCACCTATGTTTACTATGTCATTATAATGAGAATACTAATAAGTCATAAAATGAGTTGGGTTGATTTAGTTGTTTATTCATAAATTTATTATTAATCTCCTATTTAGGAAACAGAATGAAATGACTGTATTCTCTCTATAAGACAACAATATCTGATATCTGATACACAATATGTAAATGTGTGATTTGTGAATGTTTCAAGTTGTAAAACGAGATTATAAAGCATGAATTTGTGTTTAGAATTTCATTACTATATTTTTTAATATACTAAGTCTCCATATAGCTTTTTGTGGAATCTAAGCACATCACTATTGCTTCATTAATGCTCATCCTAGATACATATCTATATAAAATGAGTTTACAAATAAACTAGAAGTCTGTTAAATTAAAAAGGAAAAAATACATCAGTTGTGAGAAAATACACAAGCTAAATAGCACTAACATGAAATTCTGTAGTGATGGAGGTGGCAAAGATCATTTCTAACTTGCAGACACATTTGTAGCATCCTACTTTAACCAAAGAACGATGCAGTGCATTTCTGTTCACTAAAGTTCAGGCTGCTTTAGCAGAGCGTAAGAGTTGTGGAGAATTACTTTCATTTTCTCATTATATCACCAGTCGTATCTTCTTTTTTTTTTTTTTTTTTTTTTTTTGAGACGGAGTCTCGCTCTGTCGCCCAGGTGCGACCTCCGCTCACTGCCAACTCCGCCTTCCGGATTCACGCCATTCTCCTGCCTCAGCCTCTCGAGCAGCTGGGACTACAGGCGCCCACCACCACGCTCAGCTAACTTTTTGTATTTGTAGTAGAGACGGGGTTTCACCATGTTAGCCAGGATGATCTTGATCTCCTAACCTCGTGATCCGCCCGCCTTGGCCTCCCAAAGTGCTGGGATTACAGGCATGAGCCACCACGCCCACGCTCTTCTTTCTTTCACACTTTATGCAATGTAGAAGTGGCTATCCGATCTATTGAGAGTCCCATCAATTAGACCACATTTTTTTTCCATTTCTGTAAATTCTACTAGGTTACTTGACAATTTTCACTTGTCTGTTACAATTCTTCACATTGTCATTTCATTTGCCAGCCATATTAAATGCAGTTATTTCAAAGTCCTTGTTTGTTTGATACATCAAATGTCTGGATCAAAATAGCTAAATAGTTTGCAACTATATGTATTGTTCATTTGTTTTCTTGGTTTTTAGTCAATTTTGTGCATTTGCATGACTTTTTTTTCCTCATTTGATGTCAGAGACATGTGCATAATTATACAGAAATGTTTGGGTCACCAGTCATATTTTCAACCTCTGGGAGGAATTTGTTTTGCTTATGCTAAGCAGTAAAGAGACAAAACACCTTAAGCCAATCACAATAAAAATTATTTACTCTGTGTTTTAGACTTGTTCCTGGCTGTTAAATTTACTGTTTGTTCTGCGTTTTAGGATTGGTCCTGGCTGCTAATTTTGCTGTTTGTTCTTACTTCTAACTTGTCTCAACTAAAAATCCCAAGGTGCTATCCTTTACCTTCTTTCTTAGTATCCACTTATTGAGCAAGTGACAACTATTACCACTTCCAGGGTAAGAGTTCCACTTCATGAAGGATAGCAAAGAACGTAACAATAACTACCACCATGAGCAGCAGTTTCAGGGTGTAAACCCACTGTATGATTTACAGATGTCAGGATCATCAAGAATGCCACAAATCAGACAGACACTAGATGAATTGATGCTTTACTCACATAGAGAATAGAACAAGTTTTGCTTCAATGGTGAGCTTTAGTTCTCCATGGCTAGTTGTTTTAATAGTGAGTTTTAGTTCCCCGTGGTTAGTGGATATTGCCCTGTAGCTAAAGCAGGGAGATGGTCTACATGCACTCACCTTGTACTAGAAGTGAAGGACTCTGTTTTTTCCCCTTCCGGGACAGATATAGCAGTGAACTTGGCCAGGTGCAATATGATACAGACATTTAAGTAGAAACAAGTACCCATCAAACCTGAAACAGGTAAAGATATTCTCAAAAAAGGTAAGATGCCCAGAACAGGGTGTGAGGGCTCATTATTTCCAGGTAAGAAAATGTTCCAGGTTAGAGGCTCACTTGTATGAAACCATGCGAGGATTGGCAGTCTCCAAATAACTGCCTTTTCCAACACCACCGAAGTGAAGTTTTTTTGTTCTTAGCCTCAATAGCCTATCAAAATCTCTGCTTTTCAATCTTACAGCTTACGACTTTCCAGTTCACAAATGGCTTGAGGTGAAAAACAGTGCCCAATAAATGGCCCATATCTTTGAACTTCCTTCATTTCTAGCCTCTTACCACACAAGTCCTGTTGTCACCAATGTTTTTTTAGAAACCTTTATAAACTATATTTTATGTTTTTTTATTCTTTACCTTTGCTAATTTTTTATTAAAAATTAATTTTATTACAATTTCGATAGTAGGAAGACTATTCTGAAAACAATTATCATCTATCAAATCAGAAAATTACATCTATAAATCTTTAAACATAAACACTGCAGATAATTCTAGCTAAATTATATTATATCTCACAGATTTAACATAATTTGGGAGATTGGGAAGTTTAAGAGTTCTTGAGCTTGTTCTATGTGGGTTTAGTTAAATGGAATTAACTATAACTGGACATATCGGAAACCCAAATATTTGTTGAAAGGGTTTTGTTGATTAATAGCCCCAGCATCCAGTAGGGTTAAAGGGTCTGAAAATTATTCAAATTGTAAAAATATCTCTTGGCTTTAACTTGCTATGAATTTGGATTGATCTCAGAAAGATATTTATCCTTTTGTGCAGGTAATATTTTCAAAGTAACCAATGAGATCAATGAATTAAAAAAAATGTCCCGGAGGGAGAAACCAAGAGTGCTATAAATCAATGGACTGAGAGAGATTTCCAGGAAGTAGAAACTCGGTCTGTTCTTGTAACACTTCTTACTCTTGAGATAGACTCAGATGTAGTTTAAAATTTCTATAGATCTACAGTGATAGTATTATACCTCCCATTTTCCTCTCCTCATGATAACTGGAAATATCTATGGTAGTTATCCTGCCTCTTCATTGTATCCTGGGTATGTTGGGGGACAGATAATATTTTTTAATTCATGAGTCCCCATATCAAAAGATGATAATCTCAGTAATTGTGTCTGGGCTGATGTTGATCATAAGATTATGAATTTTGATCCTGATGTTATGACTGGATGTATGTTTGACGCCTTTTGAGGTAAACTGAATGTATTTTGCACGTATAAGGGGTGTGAATTATTAGGACCGCAGGGAAGAGCATGAGAAATTGGTTTTTGGAATTGTCCCTCCCTCTATCCACGGTCAATGCAATGCTTTATTCCTTCATTAAAAGGGGTCTATTTCCCACTGCTTGAATCTAAGCTGGCCTTATGACTTGCTTTGACCAATATGATGAATCAGAAGTGCTAGAATGTTAGTGAGTCTGGTCAGTCTAGGCTTCAAAAGGCCTTACTCATTTTACTCTGTTCTCTAGGATATATACCATGCCATCAGAACAAGACCACTTGACAAATAGCTAGCCAACCTCCACACATGGGGTGATATCATCCTAGATCAGCCAGCCCTCAGTATTCTTGCCAGCTTAACCCAAGGCATAAGTGAGCATGGCTGATGCCAAAAGACCCATTATATCCATCCAGTTTAGCTGTAGGCTCATTAGCAATGATAAATACTTTTTTTTAGAGCCACTGATTTTTCAGGTGGTTTGTTATGCAGCAAAAACTACTTGATCTCCCTATTTCCATGATTAGTTTCAATGTTTTAAAATCGAGTTATTTTAAATGTTTGAAGTATTTATCATTCAAGCTTGTCTAAGAGAAAATTTCTTTGTCTTGTATCAGCCTTGTTGGAGATTTCTACTAGATTAAAAATCAACTTCAGATGATTTTTATCAGATGAAATATCTGAAATATATATGCATATTCTTACATTCTTTGAGGTTTTTTTCCCCAAATCCTCTTATAAGTTCTTAAACTTTGGGAGATGATCTCAGCATGGCATTATGTGTAACATTATCATTAGTCACCTTTTCTTTTTTGCATATAAAAATGTTCTTATATACTTAAGAAACATTAGAAAATCTTATATTCATCAGCCATATTTTTGCATCTTACATGGAAGTTTAGATTGAAATTCAACTTCCTAGTCAATAACAGACCTGATTACTTAAATTTCATCTTTTCTTGATGATCATCTGTTGCTTTCCGTTCTTTTTCAGCAGTTAATTTTATTCATAATGTAATCTGTGTTTGAGGGTTTTATTACATGTTCTTGATGAGTCACTTCAGTTTATCCCATTGACTCCCTCCTGAAACACAAGCCATATAAAATTCACCACCGTGAAGCAAAGCCTGACTCATGAAAAGTAAATAGTAAATAAATAAATAAACCCATGCTTTAAAAATGCAGTTTCATATGTAACTACTTATAAAAGAATACAGTTACAATCTCATTTATTTTGTATCAGATATAATTTTCTAAAATGATTTCCAAACATTCTAGTTTAATTTCTCAAGTTTTATCTATTATAACATAATCTACTAAATTAGTTCTCCAGTAGTCCCCACTTCTCTGCAGATCCAATTTCTGCAGTTTTAGTTGCCCACAGTCAACTGTGGCCTAACAATATTCAGTGAAAAAGTCCAGAAACAGACAATGCTTAAGTTTTAAATTAAGCACTGTTCTGAGTAGTATAATGAAATCTCATGCCACACTGATCTGTCCTGTCCATATTGTGAATCATCCCCTTTGTCCAACATCCTTCTATATCAATACTCCTAGTCTATTAATCACTCTGTGGTTATCTTGGTTATCAGAACAGCCATCAAGGTATTGCATGTTTGTGTTCAAGTAATACTTACTTTGCTTAATAGTGGCCTCAAACACAAGAGTAGTGATGTTGACATATTGTTTTATGATTATATTAATATATAACTATACCTAATTGATAAATTAATTTACATTATATTTATGTATGTATAGAAAAAACACTATATATAGGGTTCGAAGGTGTCCACTGGGGACCTTGGATTGTATCCTCCATAGATAAGGGTGTACTTACTACTTTATTATGTTACTTGGTATTTACAAGATTACTGATATAGTGGATCCTACAAACAGAGACTGAGAGAGATAATCTCCCATCTCCATTACTTTAACCAGAACAGTGCAATTCAATTTAAAAAATATAAAATCTCTTTCTCTCTCTCTCTCTCTCACACACACTTACAACATACACACACAATGTGATAGAAACTCTATTCAACTCTGACTTCTGATGTTTAATGTGCCCACAGTAAAAGTATTTTATCTTGGTAAATGGCCTTTCAAATAATGATTGCAATAGCCTGGTTTAGTCTTTTTTTTTTTTTTTTTTTGCAGATACCTGTGAACATGTAAATAAGTTATAGGCAGTAGAATGTTAGTTTTAATAAATGTAAATTTCATGTTGGACCCTTAAATTGTGGGCATGACTTCTGACTTTGCTACCTACCTTTCTTTCTGTTACTCACTCAATTCTAATCACACAATGGCCTCTCCTCTGTTCCTTCACTCTGCCAGATGCAATCCCGAACCTTAGGGCCGTCTCATTGACTGTTACTTCTGGCTAGAACTAACTTGCCCCCAATCCATAGTATAAGTATCTTTCTTCTTTCTTGTAATGATTCAGATATAATCTTCCGCAGGGAACTACAAGGAAACCAATTCACAAATTTCAACATTTATTTAATTTAAATGGTTAGTGCATGACAGGAAAATAATTAAGATTAATGTTACAGTTTTCTGGTTGGAAGACAGTGAGACCTAAGCCCAATGCATTGGTCGTCCTGGTGAAAATAAAGGGATATATCACAGAGATGGTAAAGATGTTTATAGCTTATATTATAGTGACAAATTGGAGAGAGCTGAACAAGATGAAAGTCTCTAGATTCATGCCTTTATTTCCCGTTTTGGTTATTCAGTTGAAGGTATTAAAAATGAAAGGAATAAGTTTTAGAGGAAAGCAATTTAAATGGGAAACAATTTATTACCTAAGTTTAACCTGTTAAAATAACATTTGATTGTCTTATTATTATTTTAGTAATACAGTGTATTAGTCTTTTTTTTTTTTTTTTTTTTTTTTTTCTGCTGATAAAGACATACCCGAGACTGGGAAGAAAAGGACGCTTAATTTTACTTACAGTTCCACATGGCTGGGGAGGTCTCATAATCATGGCCGGAGACAAAAGGCTCTTCTCACATGGCCAGGGCAAGAGAAATTGTGGAAGAAACAAAAGCGGAAACCCCTGATAAACGCATCAGATCTCATGAGACTTATTCACTATCATGAGAATAGCACCGGAAAGACCAACACCCATGAATCAATTACCTCCCCCATGGCTCCCTCCCACAACACTTGGGAATTCTGGGAGATATAATTCAGGTTAAGATTTTGGTGGGGATGCAGACAAGCCACATCATGCAGTTACAGTTACTTAACTTTTTTCCTTATCACTTATACCATTACTGATGTAATTCAAGTTTTTGATATGTGTTTACCAACATGTTTCTAAACAATGGTGATTTGATGCTACAGTTTAAATAAGAATAGAATTAATCTCATATGTGGCTTAGGGGAAAAGACAGAATTACATAAAAAAGGAAATTTCAATACACTATAATTTTTATATCTCAGAAAATTGATTATCTAATATTATTATACCATATTTTAACAATATGCAGCAAATTAGCATAATTTCCTTGGAAAATATGTCCTTGTAATATTCAAAGTACCAGCTGGAAATAGTTGGTTCATTTATATTAGTGTAACAGGAACTTTAGTTACTGGAACTAAAGTAATAAGGGGAAGTATTTAGAAGAGTATGGATAGGCAATAGAGGAAACACGTGGGCTAGTGGGGATTAATAACAGAGCTTGTAATCCTCCCACAGAAAGGAAGCAAGTTGTTACCAAACCCCTAAATGGAGAGTTATATAGAAAGAGTTGCCTTGAGAGAAGCATTAACTTTTGGACGAGGATGCAGCCAATCCAAGGCAATGCTGTGGGGGAAAGGTAAGGGAATGTACTGGCTTCACTCTCCCTCACGGTAATCTCTTAGTAGATTTATCTTTAACCAAATTTGAAGCCAGAGAGTAAAGAAAACTATTGCTATAACTCATATAGGCCAGTTTCCCCAGGCAGTGAGCAGAACGAAGGGTAGAGTGGATGTGAAAGGATAAACAGAAGATGGCCAGTTGAATCTTAACAGAAGATGGCCAGCCGAATTTTTTTAAATTTAGTAACTCTATTCCAATATAAATAGACTAAAAAAGTTTTGACCAAGCTAACAAAACTGTAGACCTGTGATGATTATATGTATAGTGCAAACTTATACATACAACTGCATTTCTCAAATTTTCTCAAAGGCTAACATTAATCAATAGATATATGTTTTTAAATATTAATAATATAGTACTTGTTCTGCCTTAAAATGTTCTGAATAAAATTTAACTTTATTTTCAAGATAAAACCAATATATTTGCTGAGTTACAAACTCAGTATCAAAGTCATATAAAAACAATAGATGCCTCTATTTTAGTTCAGAATTTACTAAAAATCACCATGGAAAGAACATTTTTATTTTTATGTACTGGAATGTATATCTCAAATAATAATTTTATATTTAGTTGATGTAAACAGAATTAAATAAAGTTCATTTATTAACCAGACAAGAAGATAATATAACATGTAAATTTCACATGGTAAAAAATAGCTATGCATCCATTAAATAGTAATTAACAGTAAATTGTATCCAAATTGTATTAACAGAGAAAATGATTGATTTTCATTCATCATAAATGAATAAGAGATTGATTATCATTCATCATAAATGAATAAGAGAGAAGAAGGTGATCTAATTCCATGTATATACATATACTTTGGCTTTCAGCAGACACTCCTAGATTGTTGTGAATTGTGTGTGTGGCGGGTGTGGGGGGTCCTTTTTTATAATTATGCTGCTGAAGTTTTCCTCATTAATTGCATTATTTTAGTAACCCTTTCCAAGTATATTGGTAATCTATGTTTTGCTTCTATTGGAATTTAAATTCACAAATAGCGTAGAATGTTTACTTTTGGTGTAGACCCAACCTGGAAATCATATGTTCAAACATATGGTAAAATAAACATTCAAACACTTTAATCTCTTTCATCAGTCATCCTTTCAGAATACTTGTTAAATCCATCATTTTCTTATCTTAGACTATCCCTTGCTTTGGAGCCTCTCAATGTAATTTTTTCATGGTCTAATTTCATGTTTTTTACTTCCCATGACTATATTCCATGTTCATAAAATTACACATTTTATTGCCAAAATATATTACAGTATTATTTCCTCACTAGTTTGCTTTCAAAACAGGTTAAGAAACTTGTTTGCTCACTTGGAGAAAGAGAGAGGGAGAGACAGAGAGAGGGACAGAGACAGAGGAGAAAGTGTGTTTCTCATGTTTTGAGCCTAAGCACAGTTTTTTTAGGGGCACAGGAGGAATTCAATCACAAAACTACTTCTATTTTTAATCCAAAGTTCCTTATAGATACTGAAGAGCTCCATTGTTAGCCCATTAACTTACTTTCTTCTCTTCTGTGATTTCAGGTATATCTAACCTTAAAATTCATTCGAATAGTTATTCGAGTAGTTATTCGAAGCAAGGAGATTAACTTGCTTAGTAATCACAGGGAAAATCAAAGTCAAACAAACCATTCTCCCAAAACTATCAGGTATGATATTTTAAAATAAAAATCTTACAAACTGTGTATCATTCTGTATCTTCCCCCGCTTCATAACCTATAGCTGGAAGAGGTTGTCCTCTTCCAGAGATTAGAAGTAAATGGCTTCTAATCTCTTCAACTTCTCAGTGACTTATCTTCATTTATGTTTTCCCTCTCTTTTTCTTTCTCTCTGGTGCCAAATTCCTTCTCATCAGCACCCAGATATATTTATATATCCCTCATCTTATACAAACAAACATCATCATAAATAAAAAAACGTAAGAGATCTTGTAATACTAGGATTTTCTTCATATCTTATTCCCTTCCAACTTCACTTGATCTTTTCCCTTCTAGTCAAACCTCTAACAATGGTGTAGTTATTATTAGCATGATCATATAAAGTAAATCACTGAGATATTTGGGTCTTCTTCTTACCCCAGTAGAACCTAAACTACCCTTCCTGGTACAGAAATTGATTCCTCGGAATAGAATTGTTTCATAAGAAAAAATGATAAACTGTGTAGCATGGTTTAAATATTAGCATACAGGCCTCAAAAAGGTTTTTAGAAGACCCATTGATGGAGATCCCATTAGGTGGTGGAGAAAGATTGTTTAAATTGTTGATTGAGATGACCCAAAATCCAGATCATGCACCCAATGAACTCTTAAAGGAGAAAAGAGTGATATCATATATTAGATGTTGGAGGCTGCATTGGATAAAATAATTCAACTAAGACATGATCTCAAAAATAAATTGGCTGATTTTCAAGCAGGAATTAAGGGTAGTAGAGATAATCCAGAAATTTTGAGGTTTGGGCAGTTTTGCAACCTCAAATACCAAGATTTAAAAAATTTTAAATGTTACTAAGCCTCTGCATTAGTAGCAAAAATTAAACGTTTTACTTTAATTCTTGCATCATTTTAAAACCTCTCAGCATATTATGATAATATGAAGTTAATCCTTTATTTGAAAAAAAGTACTCAGGGAAAATAAATTGAATCCTGGCTGACCTAGAGGGTTATATTTAATGCCGCCTCTTTCTTTTTCCTAAATTAGCCTTCAACTCACTATGACCTGACCTCTTTGCCCACTGCTCCTTCACAGCAAACTTCTTCAAAATACTGATGGGTTCTTTGTCATTTTCTCTAACAGACATCTTTTAGGTTTATTCTACTTGGCCTCTTGTCACTACTGTCTATCTTAATTCTGTATTTATTTACTTAAAGTCTTCTTTTGATCTCTATGACACAGTAATCTTCTGGTCTCTCTCTTAACTACATTTTGCCAATTCACTTTGCTAAGTTTCTTCTCATGTAACTCTCTCATAAGTTGAGTATTTTAGTGTTCTGTTGTAGGTTCTTTTGTATTTCTCCCTACATACAACTTATACATTCTCATGTTTGTTTATAGTAAAAGCTTTCTCAACATATGTTTCTAGTTCATATTATTTTTTGAAATTTATAACTATTAATCCTAAAGAGTTATGAACATTATTTTTGAATTGCAAAACGTGAGTCATTCCCTAGTTAAGGATGATTGTTCAGCGCATGGTAAACTATGACATTCAAAAATACACCCTATATACAAATATTATTTATATAAACTAAATAAAATTGTTAAAAAGACAAATGGAATATACACAGTAAAAGAACTCTTAGGAATTAGAATGTGATACAAGCACAAAACTTAACCAAGTTATAAAAATTATGAAATATAAAAGCACTGAACCATGGCAGCGAATGTATATTAAGTATTGGGGTTGACTGGAAAAATATAGCAAGTAATGGCAAATATTTAAGTAACATATTAATTGCATACACATTCATTTATTAAGTCAAGAGAAATTACATAAATACGTGGGTATTTACTCTCAATACGATTTAATATTACATACAATTATGGAGAAGTAATGAAGGACATTATTTCTGCTCAATAGCAATAGTAAGGAGTTCATTTCCACTTCATGTTTATGGGTGTTATTTAAAAGAAAGGTGAAGATTCAGGTTTCTATTTCACATTATGTGGATTTCCCAGAAATTGCCATTACTACTGTCACTGAAAACTGTAGTAATTTGATTATATGGTTGTATTAACTGTTTAGTGTAATTCTCAAAACTTAAGCAAGACTAAAATTCAAAAAAGATATAGAAAGATGTTATCTTTCACTATAGCATTGAAAACATGCATTTTATGTGTCAGATGAGAGTGAAATATAGTATTTACTTGAGATTATGATGAAATTAAAAGTTCTTTAAAAGGAATATTTACAGATGACTATTTCCTTTTTACATGGCAAAAGTTTGCAAAAATACCACATGAAATATTTTAATGACATCTTTTTAAAAAATAGACAGCTCTTCCTTCCTCGATAAAATAAATTAAACATGGCATGTTTTTTAGTGATAACTCAAGTTTGTATCAGCAAATATTACTGTGAGTTATGGAATTATGGTCATGCTAATGCTCATTGGTCCAAATGAGATAAATAGAGTTGTTGGTTTGTTTGTTTCTTGGTTTTTACTTTACAATCTATATATTAAGCAATTTTCTTTTTGTCTAAGATAGCAGAGGTAAATTTTCTCTGTCTTTTTGGTTTTGTCCATGCCTTTTGAAAGCAACCAGTGCTTTTTTCCAAGCCTTTTATATAATACATGCTCTCCTACTCAATTTCTAATGTGAAAAGGAAAGCCTATTGTATTCAAAGAAATCAAATAACTATGCTGGTTAAAACTGTAACTAACATTAGAGTGGGTGACCTTTGAAAAATATCATGTATTCAAAACATAAAGTTGTTTGTGTATTTTCCTGGGATTTTTTGTAGCTTACCTTAAGCGTCTTGTTTATATTTCTTACTGTTGGAGAAGTGACAACCCGGATGTGAACTCTTATTATATTACCGCTAACGTTGGACACATGCAGGTTTAACCATTGTGTCACTCAAAGGTACAAGAGAAAATATTTTGTACAATTTTCCCTTGATACTTTAGGTATAACTTCTGCCTAAGAATCCTATCAATAAAGTTTAACTTTGAACTAAAATGAGTTTACAAAGCAATATCACTTATAACAGCTTCCAAATCATTTCAGATCCCAAACCGGAAAAAGTAGGCTGCTCCCAGGTCAAAAATTTTATTACTGAGTGGACAGTATATAGTTTTATTTTTTTTAAAAAAAGCTGTAAAATATAATACTACTTAGAAGACTGTTCTGATTAATGCTCTACTTTTCATTTTTATTTTTTTGATATTTATATGTGTGATACTTTCATAATAATACAAAAACACTAGAAAATCAAATTTTAATATAATATAAATTGGTTATATATAGATTACAGTACAGATTTCAAAATGAGAAATGTCCTTTAAAGTCAGAATTCTGTAAGGATATGAAGTAGTAAGTTGGAGAACAGTTTGCACTTTATTTCCATCCTGAATATTTTAAAATCATATGACTTTGTACCACTCTGTGAAGCTCTGTTTGTTATATAATTCAATGCAAGATTTTTGAAGTTCAATAAATACTTCAACAGGTCAGACGATTTTTAAATTTTAAATCATTGTGAGTTTTTAAAGGGTAAAATTTACCTGCTCTCATATTTAATTTGAAAAATCCATTAGAGGGCCTGGAAATTATATAATCATTATTTTTGCACTGGGAACGGTGGCTCACTCCTATCATCTCAGCATTTTGGGAGGATGAAGTGAGAGGATCACTCGATGCCATGAGTTCGAGACCAGCCTGGCTAGCATACAGAGTCTCTGTCTCTACTGAAAAGTAAAAAATTAGCTGCATTTGGTGGCACGTGTCTGTATTCACAGCTACTTGGGAGGCTGAGGCAGGAGGATCACTTGGGCCCAGGAGTTCATAGCTGCAGTGAGCTAGGTAGGTGACAATACACCACAGCCTGGGTGACAGAGTGAGACTCTGTCTCTTAAAAATAAAATGTTTTTGAACAAATTAATCTATGCTTAATTTATACATCAATCATTGCAAAACAGAAAGAAACAAAATTAAATTTTATTTTAGAAATTAAAATAATATTACTCTACTTCCTTTCTCCTAAGAATTCTTTCTTTTTCATAATTAAACAATTTCAGAAACTTGATTGTTTTTGTCTTGAATTATATGTACTGCTATTTCACATTTTCGGATACATACATTTATTTCACTTTGACATAATTTTTTTATGCCTGACTTCTTCCAATGTGCAATCGTCTAGCAGGTCAACTTTTACTTAAAAACTGTTCAGTTAGAGTTACAAACCCTAATCTAAAGTGACCATCCATCAAGGTAAATAAAAGGAAAACATATAACATGGAAACAATACTTACAAGCTTTACAAAAAATATAAATAATAGCAAATTAATTATTGCAAATTATGTAGTTAAATATAAAAATATAGAATGGAGTTAAGGGATATTTTGCTTAATTAAGAATCATTACAATGAACTCTGCAATATACTGGACAAGCATCACTTTAGCTTCAAAAGCTTTTAATATATTTTTCTTTTCAAGTTTATAGAAATACTTTGAATTTCTTATTGTAATCCTTGGGGAACTGTAAATTGTAATTATTAGATTAATTAGTCCCTGAAAGTGTTAAGTCATTAGACAGTCACTGAGTGCAAACCTTGCAACAAACAGTGGGTGAAGCTGTGGGAATATATTATGGTACCACAAACAATCCCATACACAAATTTGGTGATTTGAAGAGTGCCCTCAAGGGTTGTAAATTGTGATTAAATAATTAGGTAAAAGTTTGAAGACATGGAGTGATGCAGAGAAAGTTTAGCTGAATTTGAGCTCTTGTGGGTATTTAGGAAAAGTTTCTTAGAGGCCGGCATTCATGAATGAGTCTTAATAATGAGCATGCCTGTAGTTGGCCAAGAGTTACTCACACTTAATTACTTGAGGACACTATAAGCACGGCAATTGAGAGATCAATAATAATTAGTATATGTCTGTTGTAACAAATGTTGATTCTGTATTAGAAAACTCTAATATGATATTCATATTAAACAAAACAAAAATCACTTGAATTTTAGCGACGGTATATTTCTTTTTTTACTAAATGATGTTATTTTGTAATGTATAATATACAACACTTTAGAATCAGATGTGATAGAAAATAACTCTGATTATTGATACGTTTACTTAAAACAATCATTTAAAGGGATATAGAATGAAAGTAATAAAATGTGGTGGTTTCATATTTCATAGAAAAGATAAAAGAAAATAAAAATGAATGAATATAATTAGAGTAAAATTGTTTATAAATAAATAATAATGTATTATAATAAATTATATATAATTTAAACTTCTATCATCTGGCATAAAATAGAAAATTCTACAGATTGAAAACCATACATATTTAATGTTTACCTATTTTAGCTAGCTTTTGCAAAACTGGGATGTAAAGTAATATTACCATATTATTTTCTTTAAATTTGCAATTTAGAGAAGATTCATATATGAACTTAGGAAGGATTCTTAGTTTAAACCTCCCAGTAGAGAATGCTGCTTTACAGAAATGTAATGGGCTTATGATTTTTAATGTGCAAACTTTAAAAATATAATTAAATTATTAGTCATCTTATTTCTTAGAAAATTGTTTTAATGGATTAAAAACTTCAAATTCTAAAATTGTTGTGTCCTATAATGAAAAAGAAAAATGTATTTTGTGAAATATTTTTAGAATTACAGGATGTCAAAGAAGTCCGCTCTCTTTGATTATCTTTAGAAAAGGTACTCATCCATAGTTTAATTAACATATACATTACAATTTAGGTAGATGGGTTAATCAACAATCTTTATACATTCCTGGAAAAAAAATAGTTGTTTTATTTTTTAAAAGATGTCACTTGATTTAGCTATATTTTGTATTTCCCCATAACTAAGAGGATAATATCAATGCTTTATTTCTAGAATGTTCACCTACTTTATTTGTTAGGTCAAAATGTTAAAGGAAATAAGTTTAAGAAACTGGATAAAAGTTAATTTAATTACACAGAGAAACATATTTATCCATGTAAATTAAGTTCATTTTACTTTTGATAGTAACATTTCCTATTCAAAATTTTTCTACACTTTTTCAAATCTGTATATGACACTACAAATTTGTGTTAAAATATACATGAATGAGTTATAATTTTATACACTGTAAGCTTCATAAACAACCTATGACAAAGTTTTTGTTTTTATTTTGCCATCTAAATTACTCAGGAATGAATTATAAGTTCCTGCGAATAATCCAGAATTGATGTTATTTGCATTTCGTTAGCATATGATACACTATGAATATTAAGATAAACAAACAAAAACACTGGCCACATCCTCATGTGAAAAGAATAAGATTCTCTTTCATAATACAGCACAAATCTGTCATGAAAGATGTCTTTGTAAACAGAACTTCCAAAGCCCCTTTTTCTCGTCTTAGATATTCCTTGTCTGCAGGCTATGAATAGGCACATTTTAATACAATTAAATTTCATATATCTGTTCACACTCTTTTTCCAGTCCTTTTCATACAGATTTCAAATTTATGAAGTTGCATGATCTATTTCTGTCTTTTTATTTCTAATGGATACTAGGGGATTGACACTTTCATACCTTTAATGATATATGCAATGGTTACTGTTTTGCACTAAACAAATCTCTTTGCTAATGAGGTGCTTATTTCCCTAGCTTTCTGGAGTTTGGGATGATGATTGCTCACACCAATTGACCTCAGCCAAAGAAAACTGTCTCAGCAAAATCTATTCCTTTCTAGGATGTAGTCCATAACAGATGACAGGTCAATCTGGTAGTAGAAAGGCCTAGACCACGTGAGTCAAGATGGAATCTTTTTAAAGGGCCGTTCCAAATTCTTAACTATGCTTTGCTATGATGGCGTACTTGTTGCAGCTGCATTGAAGCCCTTCTACGTCTCCCAAACCTCCTCCGCTCATTCTTTTGCAAGCATTATTCTTGAGAGCCTTCTTTAATAATCTTCATATAAACGGTTCCATCTCAGTCTTTTTCAGGGTCACTTTGTGTCTAGAATTGGTTCCTACCAGTGGGTTCTTGGTCTCACTGACTTCAAGAATGAAGCTGTGGAACCTCATGGTGAGTGTTACAGCTCTTAAAGATGGTGTGTCCGGAGTTTTTTCCTTCAGATATTCAGTTGTGTCTGGAGTTTCTTCCTTCTGGTGGGATCGTGGTCTCACTGACTTCAGGAGTGAAGCCACAGACCTTCACAGTGAGTGTTATAGCTCATTAAGCTAGTGTGGATCTAAAGAGTGAGCAACAGCAAGATTTATTGTCAAGAGCAAAATAACGACGCTTCCACAGCCTGGAAGGCGACCCGAGCAGGTTGAGCTGCTGGCTCCTGCGGCCAGCTTTTATTCCCTTATTTGACCCTGCCCATGTCCTGCTGATTGGTCCTTTTTACAGAGCGCTGGTCTATTTTACAGAGTGCTGTTTAGTCTGTTTTTACAGAGCGCTGATTGGTGCATTTGCAAACCTTTAGCTAGACACAGAAGGCTGATTGGTGCATTTACAATCCTCTAGCTAGACAGAAAAGTTATCCAAGTCCCCACTCGACCCAGGAAGCCCAGCTGGACTCACTGCTCAACTTCACCTAAGAAAGTATGTTTTACAGAAATACTATGTTTTACAGAAATACAGAAATATTGGGTATCTTTTTATTATTCATAATTTAGTGTTATTTAATTTACTTTGAAATGAGATTTTTGTAAAAGTATAGAGGATTAATAAATTAAAATGACAATTTAACAAATAGCTGTAATATTTAAGGTGAGTGTTTGAGAAAGTAATTGGGCATGGTTTGAGGTTGTTAGTAAGCACCATCATTTAAGAAGTTGTAAAAATTGAAGGTGCTCAGTAGTGGCAAGTAGAATACTTGCTGTCTTCTCTCCAAGGAATTTGGCAAAGGTAGCAGAGCAGTGCTCACTTTAGGGTTCCTCAGCATTACAGTGATGGAATGTTCTTTCTAGTAATAAAGCCAGTGGAAATTTTGCAGAAACTATGAAAATACCGCTTTAAAATCAATTTTTCTTCAAAGCGTAGACAGTTTATCTGAACTTTGCAATCACATAGGACTAGATTCAGATTCTGATTCTCTCGCTCGACAATGCAATATACCCTTAGCAAGGTGATCACATTCTTTGAACTTCATTTTTATTAACCTATAATGTGGGACTATCTTTACTAACCGGAAACGCATCAATTTAATTAAAACATTTAATTTGTGTAAAAAAGCTGAAGAGCATCTAGCATTTAGTAGGCACTGCAGTAACAGTAGCCTACATATTACGAGGTTATTTTTACACGTTCAATACACTTTAAATTTTATTAACCAACAAGGCATTGCATTCCCCTGGAGCAAAATCAGGTAAACTATAAATACAAAAAAGTGATGTAAATAAAATAAGGGGAGTTAAAATGAAAAATAGAAAAGCTATTTTAGAACATTGTAAGATGGTTGACAAAAGTAAGCAAACCATCAAAAAGTATTTTTTCAATGGTGTACCTCCGGAAAAAAGGAAAAGAAGACTTTGGCATGATTTTCTTTCATTCCACTATTTTATTCCACAAAGAGGATGTTTATTTTGTGAAAGAAAACTTCTGGCCATGAAACAATTAATTATACAGAAATATATATTTCTATATTTGACTAGGTTCCTTATAAAGGTAAAGAAAATAAATTATACTGGGCATAGGTTAGCTGGAGAAGGATTATAATTCTTTCATATCACCATATTCACAATTTAATTACATGCAATTATGAAAGTCAATTTTTAATTCACTCTTTAGAGATTCTGTTTTTTAATGAGAGCTTTGAAATGTCTATAAATATTAGACTTTTCCTACAGAATTGACATTTCCTATTGACATGAAATTATAGATGACATTTAAGTCTGTGAGATTTTATGCACTATCAGCAGTTAAAGTTTTATAAGTGTGAGAAAAATGTGTTGGAATAATATTTCACTAATCGGTCACTTCACAGATAACTTTAGATAAATCATGGGGAAACCTTTGTTTTACAGTAACTTGGCAGGAAGAAAAAATTCATTACTTCTCTGACTCTGCAACCAGATGCAGTTGAAAGAAAATAAGTAGATGACCTTGTTCAGATGTTTCTTGAATAATATATGAAGCCTACTCTTACACCATTAACTCTTTACTACCAATCATTATTGTAACTTACTTTGTACATAGTGGAAGTGATGATACACTTTATAGATCTAAGGAAACAAACTGTGGCTAAAAGCACAAGGATTGTTGGGAACTTTCTATTTTAACTCTTGGAGGCTGTTGCACAGAAATCAACCCTACTCAAAATTTCTATTTTTGATCTTTCTTTTCCTCACTTTATCTTTAGTAGGGACTCGTTTTCATCATGTTCAGGTACAGTTTGATGGTTTCATTAAAAACCACAGCACATCTGAATCATATGCTTTCAAACACTGTCTTGTAAGCAAGATGTAGTAAAAAGAATGCTAGATTGGAGAACAGTTGCCTAACAGTTCCCCATGGCAGGCATTCTCCTTCACTGCAATACATAATAAACCCAACTTGTTCACTTAAAACGAGAAAAAGTAAGGATAAAATAATATTATCATTAAAATTATCCTGAACAAGTGAAATTGGATCTATGATATTGGGGTATTATATATATTTCTCAAAATAATAAGAACACATTTTTCTAAACTACTTAGCAATTATTAGCTATCTTATATTGTATTTATTAATAAGGACATAAAGGAAATAAATATTATTGAGGCTTCCATAACTAAAGGAGAGTAGAATTCTCATATTGAAAGAGTGTAAGCTAAGTATATAACACTCATCATTTTATACTTTTAAGCAAAAATTGTCTCCGAAACTTTTTGAAGCATGTCTCTTCAAGGAGAACTATTGTGAAACAAAATTTTAAATTTCTTCTGTTATTTGTTATTTACCAGATCAAGCAAGAAAGATATAGGAATTTTAATCACTACCTCCACCTTCATTTTGTCTTTTGTTTTTGTTTGGATACATTCTAGTAACATACTATCAAGATAACTGGTTTTTTACTCTGCCGAATCTAACCTTTTCTTATGTCTATTGAGAAAAAACTCAGTTTTGATATTGTCTTTTCTCAATTTTGGGATTTAATTTTTCTATATATGTCATCTATCTCCTGAAGTTCATCATTTGTTCATGTGTGTTCTCCATTTTTTTCTACTTCATTTTTAACATATGTTTATTAGAATTATATTGTTTCTTCTCTGAAAATTCCAACTAGATCACCTTCGTGTTTCTTCTATTGACTATTTCCTGTGTTATACATGGTTTAGATTTACTTGCTTGTGTGTGTGCATCTTAAAATTTTTGACTATACACCAAACATTCATTCAAAAGCACCGTAGAGGCTCAAGTAAATAACATTCAACCACACAAAGGGCATGTTGTCTGCCAGGCAAATTCTATGAGGGACTCAGTAAATATAACGTTTAGTTAGATTAAGTAGGGGATTTGTTATAGCTTTAATTATTTTTAGTTCACTATTATCTTCAAATCTTTTGAGAGTGGGATGAAGTCTTTCCCTTCAGAGAGACCACATAGAAATATTGCAGCTTTATAGCCAATTTCTCAGCCTTCTGAATCATGTGTGTGCTCTTTCTTCTTTACAGCCTGCCTGCAATCTTTCTCTATTACCAAGACATTTTCTTTGCTCTCCAGGACAGCCCAGCCTCTAGTTTTATGTCCTCTGTGGATCTATCTTCACCATTGCCCTCTTCTAGCTTTCAGGGTGTGGCTGCAGTGTACTCAGTGTACTCTGAGATGTCCTGACTCTCTACCCTCTTACACTATCTCAGCCTGGGCTGAGGAAGGGTCTGAATGCTCCAAGGAACACTTTCTTAAATCTTTTGTTCTTCCTTCAGCCTCCTGTGTACCAATTCATGCACTTGGTGCAATCCCAGGGAAAGTGTTGACAAGTGGGTCTTTAGAAATTTTATTTTATCAAGGGTGGCTTTGTCTTTTAAAAATATTAATTTAATTAATTTTAATCCAAGTAAAAATTGTATGTATTTAATGTGTACCACATGATGCTTTGAAATATGTATACGTACATAGCAGAATTACGCATTCAAGCTAGTTAACATATTCATTACCTCAAATACCTATTTTTTGTAGTGCGAATACTTAAAACCTAATATCAGTGATTTGCAAGATTACAAAATATCGTTATTCACCAGTCTCTATGTTGTACAATAGATCTCTTGAAATTCTTCCTATCTCACTGAAATTTTGTATCCTTGACCAATATTTCCCCAACATGCCTCCCAGCCCTGGTTAACCATCATTCTATTCTCTACTTCTATGAATTCAACTTTAAAAAATTCTTCATATAGATAAAATCATGCAGTATTTGTCTTTCTGTGCCTGGTTTATTTTATGTCACATAACGTCCTACAGGCTCATCCATGTTGTTGCAAATGAAAGGATTTCCTTTTGATGTTGTTGTTGGCTGAACAGTATTCTATTGTGCATGTGTGCCACAGCTTATGCATTCAACTGTTGACGAACACTTCCATATCTTGGCTATTATGAAAGATGCTGCAGTAGACATAGGTGTGCAGATATGTTTTTAACATACTGATGTTAATTCCTTTAAATATATACTTAGTAGTGGGATTGATGGATCTCATAAGTGGCTGTCTTATCTTTTTATTGACACTCTACCCAGGATGAGTCTTTTTTCCCATGAGGAACTTACATCTTGATGAAATTTTGTACTTTTATCGTTTTTTTCTTTCTCTTCTTTCTGTGGTCTTTAAAAAAGCCTACTATTTTATAGTCAATTCATTTTTTTTCTTATTAGAGTTGAAGTGAACAAGCACATGGCACAAGCCATGTTGCATTCCATATTTTACCTAGAATTGGAATCCCTAGTACCTGCCATTTGATCATTCCTTTTTGTAAGTTAGTAAATTAAAATTACTTGTAAAATCCAAATATACATTTTTATAATTAATATATGTCCAAGTCAAAATTCATATCAACATATTATGTTTCTTTATCACAGATATGCTTATTCATTTCTATTTGCCCAGTCAAAATTGTTAAAAAATTTGTGAGTAGGAGTTATATTTCTCTTCTATTTCATCATAACTCTCACCGTGTAAAGCATATATGAGAGAGCTAGTGAACATTTACTGGTGGATAAAGTATTCTCTAATGTATACTCTAAAATGTAATTTTAATTTGCTAACTTTGTAATATTTTCAGTGTTCAGATGTGATTACCTTTATTAGTAGTTAATTTATTGTTTAAATCTTGGAGTTTTCCACATTTTTATTTTTTACTCATTTGGATATTGAATATGACACTGTATATAGGTATTTTATCTCACGCTATCACTATTTATATTTTATCACACATACAATTTTGAAATTATCTCTAGGCCTCTGAAGACATGAAATTTGAGGATTATGCTTCAGGCAACACCTGTATTTCTTCTTAAATTTAATTGCAACAATTAATTAAAGGCAGGAATCTGCCATCTAATATGAACAGGAGTTGTATTTCAGTGTTCCAGGCTAGGGACAGTAGCTGTTTTCCTTTTATTTTTCCCTTTCTAAACAGAACAAAGGAAATGCTTTTTTATTTTCCCAAATGATTTTGGAGAGCTGTAGTGTGGGCTCTCACAAAATGGGTTAGGGTTGACAACATGTTTATTTCATTAACAAACTGGACATGAATTTTACATTAACTCTAATTTCTCAGTGGATCAGAAGTTAAAATTTTTAGAAGTCCTAATATAATTTAGTGTCACCGAAATCCCTATATTTGGACAGGTCAGACTACGTCAAGAATGTAATGGAGAAAAATAGCATGTGTTTGCTGGAACATGGCTTATTTAGGTTACAGTGTCTACATCTGTGTTTCCCTTTTGTACTTGAGGTGACAGGGAAAAATGAAGTATTTGTTATTCATTTTACTATCTAATTTGAAATAAATCTTAGTTTGTCCATGTTGACTAAGCATGCAAACCACCATAAAGTCATGCTCCTTAGCTAAAACCTAAAGATCTGTATCAGATTGTTTTACACAGGTCTCTTTTTTTCCCACAGATTATTACCCAGAAATCACTGCAAAACTAATGATTAACTTTTACAGAAATGACATCGAAGTTCACATTTCATTGACTTTTATACATAAGAAAACGATTTAGAAACAAAACCAATAAAAAAATTGACTAATTCGTCTTTTCAAATTTTAGGGATGAAATTCTAGAGAGCTGAACTTTTCTCATGGAGGGCACAATTTTATTCTTTTTTAATTTTTTTTTCCACAGGAACTGAAGTGCCAATGCTATCAACTTCAAAAGCAAGGTTCAACTTGATGCATTTACAGTGAATGTGCTACTTTAAAATCATTTAAAAAGAAATATGTAGTTGATGCTGCAATCTATAATAGAATTGATTTTTGCAACTTTTTTTCTCATTGGGCACTTGACTGCCAACTTTGTTATGTGCCCATTTATCATCTAATTGTGGCTTTTAGGATAAATACAATTTGCTATTCTAGGTGACTCAACATTTCACTACATTATAACTTTTCCTAAAGAATTCCTAAGGATAAAATTTAATTTTCATGGTTACATATTTTTGGGAATAGTGTACATAAGGGAATTAATTTGTCTGATTCTTCTTCCATGAATTTAATTTATTTCATAAAGTTACAAAGTGGTAATTTTTACAAACTAAATAATTTTATTTATTTCTTGTAATTGCCAATTCAATTGTTTGGGCAACAAAATTGAAAGTTTCTGAAGGACAAAAACTATTGATACTGTAGTCAAATATTGTAGTCAACCATGAATGGAGAGATAGACTATTTTAATTCAAATATTCTGAGAAATAAAAAAAATTTAAATAAATGGTAACGTTGGATGAAAAAATGCCAAGGAAAAATATGGTTAGGAAATGAAAGAGAATAACAGTATCAATACTTTTAGCAGTAAAAATTTTAAGTATACAATTAGTAACAGAATAGAATTAAATACTATGAACAAAACAAAATATTATATTGAATTACCTACAGAGAAAGGTAATAAGGAAAATTGGATTGTACCAAAAAAGGAGTTAGTCATGTCATTAAAATTTGTGTCTGCATTGTGAAAGTGACATCATGGAGGATGGCAGAGTAGGAAGTTTCAAGAATTAGTTTCTTCAATTAAAAAAAAAACGATTTAGTTGACAAAACCATGGGAACAACTGTTACAGGACTCTGGAGTATAGCTGAATACTTACAGCACTGAAGAGAATGCTGGTGAAGAAAAAAGATCATAAGTTTTGATGAATTTTGTCATTTTGCATAGCAGCTACCATCTCCCCTCCTCCATTCCCATGGTACACAGCTGTAGGAATAGTGAACGACGTTCCTGAGGTGGCTTGCTGGTGCCAGATTGGCCGCTAAGAACCTTGCCTCTAGGAATCGAGGTTGTGTGATCTGCCTGACTGTTCACTGAGGGATCACTGCATGGACTAGCCACTGTTTCTGCTTCCTTGGTCTGAGAAGACTTCCTGGGCAGTATCTGCAGGGGGAACGTAAGGAGACAGAACATTTTCTTCTTTCTCTCTTTTCTTATTGAATTCAGGCATTCAAGGAAATTTCTGTCAGGTCACTGGCTGGCCACAAATATATGGAACAGAGACTTCAGTGGCCACACAGCCAAGGAATATAATTTTTGCAAAAATAGTTTGGAAAAATCACTAAATAAGGGACAACTGCACCCTCTCAACTAATAAGGGACAACTGCACCCTCCCAACTAAATAAGGAACGTCAGCAATCTCTAGGGAAGGAGAATAATGAAAAGTAAAAGTAAAAAGTTCTACCATGTAAGTGGATAAATACAGAGAACATGTAGTTCTAGCTTTTATTATGTGTCCTAGTTTATTAACATTTTTTAAGAAGAGGAAAATAAAACATGTACTTTCTATAAAAAAATGCGTATGAAGTATTATACCATCTTATTTGGATATTTGGAGCCCTTATTTGAGGGCTCATCTTGTTCTCTATTTTTCCACTAAATTTTGCCTACCTCTCTGCAGCCAACTAGAGTTTACTGCAGTAATCAATGATATAAAATGCTTTATACTTTTATTCCTATGTCACATGTAAATCATATTAATATTCCTGTCTGGAATACTTTGTATACTTTGAATAATTCTTTTGGGATGGTTCTTGAGATTTAAATTTGCAGTTTCCCTTTGTGCTTGAAAAAAAGATACACACATGTATATATATGTGTGTGTGTGCGTGTGTGTGTGTGTGTCTCATTAATATTCTTGTATATCTGTGGAATAAACTACCATCATTTAGTAACTCTGAACTGATTTTCTAATAGAAATAAAGTCAAAATAGAAAAATAAGAAAGAAAAAAATCTTTGACTCCAATTCATTATATGAGCCACTTTGGAGGAAGACATATCATTGTCCCTAGTGAATTCTAAAACTTGAAATCAGCTGCCAAGGAAATATCCTAAGTTTCAAAGAGGAAATAAAATGTTTAGTAGACTGGCTAAACATTTCTGCTACCACAGCCCTATAAGAATTTGATGTTGCTTTTCAGCAAAAGGAAAAACAAAAAAGAACTTTGACTTTGACTCCATGGAATTGCCCTTACCAGTTGCCTAAGGCAGTGATTCGCAAAGTATATTCTGCAGCATCCTGGGTGTCCCTGAGACTCTATTAGGAGATAAAATCTAATATCAAGATAATACTAAGATATTATTTTCTTTTTTTCACTGTTTTGGATTTTGTACTGATTTTGCAAAAACTATAGTTGACAAAACTACTGAGACCTGGGTACAAACCAAGATGGTGGCACCAAATGACACCAGAAATCATGATCTTCTTTACCATCACACATTTTCTGTAAAGCAGAATTCTAGTTTCACTTAAGAATACACTTGCACTTTGGGAGGCTGAGGCAGGAGGATCACGAGGTCAGGAGATCGAGACCATCCTGGCTAACATGGTGAAACCCCGTCTTTACAAAAAATACAAAAAAATTAGCCGGGCGTGGTGGCAGATGCCTGTAATCCCAGCTACTCGGGAGGCTGAGGCAAGAGAATGGCATGAACCCGGGAGGCGGAGCTTGCAGTGAGCCGAGATGGCGCCACTGCACTCCAGCCTGGGCGACAGAAAAAAAAAAAAGAATACACTTGACTAGGTGGGAAAATTATTAATTTTATTAAGTCATAACCTTTGTTACATTTTTTAAAAATTTTTACTTGCTGTGAAGAGAAGCACACATAAAATGATTATCCTGCTTAACAAGGTAACATGATTTTACTTATCTGATTATTTGAGTTGTTAGATAAACTAACCACTTTTGTATTGGAAACTCTTTGTATGTAACGTCTCTTACAGGGTATGTGCCCAATCTAGCCCCTTAGCTTCTCTAGTAAAAAAATTTTATAATCAAGATAGTAGCATGTAACTCAAAATCTTTCCATAAGATATTAATGCAAAACTCCATGGCCATGTATACTATAAACATTTGGGTTGCCTTATCAATATGCTAATACTTTTTTAGTAGTGTAAGAAAATAATCCAATATTAAGCTGTGTATATTTTTGTAAACTTAATTCTGAAACTTACTTCCACAACTCAAGCTTCAAGCCTAGCATCTGAGTAGACACTTACCTCAAAATTTCCAACCAAATAATTATATTCACAGATTCTCAAGAAAGGTATCTCTGAAATTACTTCTTATCATCTCTTACATTTCCCTACACTCATCTTAGTTCCTGCCTCCCTCTCTCCCTTCTCTTCTCCTTTTCCTCTTCTCCCTCCTCTTCTTTCTCTCTTTTCCTTCTTTCTTTTCTTTCTTTCTTTCTCTTTCTTTTTCTTTCTTTCTCTCTCTCTCTTTTTCTGTCTTCTTTTCTCTTTCTCTCTTTCTTTCTTTCTTTCTTTCTTTTCTTTCTTTCTTTCTTTCTTTCTTTCTTTCTTTCTTTCCTCTCTTTCTTTCTCCCTCTCTCTCTTTGTCTCCTTCTTTCTCTCTCTCTCTCTTTCTTTCTTTCTCGATTCAGGATTGGTATTGTCTAGCATCTAAAATTGCTCTTTAATGCCTCATTTGTGATTTATGTCTTCTGTCCTTCCGTTTAGGTTGCTATTTTCTAGACTTAAGTACATAAACTTATTTTAATTTGTGGAAAAGAGTTTGTGAAAAACTGCATCTATCTTTTAAAGGTAAAATAAAGAGGTTGACATTTTCTCTATATTCTGTTGTAAGCCAAAATTCGTTAAAGTCATGCTCCTTCGTAAATTGGAATCTGCTTCTCTCTCCATCTGCTATTCTTTACACCACACTTTATAGTCTTTCTTTTTTAACTTTTTATTTTTAGTTTTTGTGGGTACATAGTAGGTGTATATATTTATGGGATATATGAGCTATTTTGATACTGGTATGTAATGCATAATAACCACATAATGGAAAATGGAATATCTGTTCCCTCAGACATATATCCTTTGTGTTACAAACACTCCAATTATATTCTTAATATGCTGATCCTTTTGTTGTTTTGTTTTCGAAATATATCATGTTGTCTTTTCCTGTGGTTTTTCCTCCTAGACTGTATTCTTTAACTTAAAAGTCAGGTTCTTCATTTCTTTCCTTACTTTTCACCTAAACACTCTCATTTCCTTCATTTATCATCTTAAAAGTGTCACATATTAACTTACTTGATACTTATTTGGGCCCAAGTAAATTGATATTTTACCAAATTGTTTTACTGATGAGTAAACTGTTGCTTAAAGAAACTTAAACTCACATGATTTTTTTGTTGTGTTTTATTTTTATTTTTTATTTTTTTTGAGACAGAGTCTTGCTCTGTCGCCCAGGCTGGAGTGCAGTGGCGCGATCTCGGCTCACTACAAGCTCTGGGTCCTGGGTTCACGCCATTCTCCTGCCTCAGCCTCCCGAGTAGCTGGGACTACAGGGGCCCGCCACTACGTCCGGCTAATTTTTTGTATTTTTTTAGTAGAGACGGGGTTTCACCGTGTTAGCCGGGATGATCTCGATCTCCTGACCTCGTGATCCGCCCGCCTCAGCCTTCCAAAGTGCTGGGATTATAGGCGTGAGCCACCGCGCCCGGCCCTTATTTGTTTTTTAAATTGACAGATAAAATTATGTATTTATTATGTACAGCAAGTTTTAAAAAATACGTATTTGTATGTTAGACTGACTAAATCTAGCTAATTAACATAAGCATTACCTCACGGATTTTTTATTGTGGGGCTGAGAACAATTTACATCTCTTCTCAGTGGTTTTCAATAATACAATACATATATTGTTATTAACTATTGTCACAATGTTGTATAATAGATCTTTTGAACTTATTCCTTTTAACATTTGTGTACTTTGACTAAAATCTCGCACTCATCCCCAAACCACTTCAGCCCCTGGTATTCATCATTCTACTCTCTACATCTGTGAGATTAAGTATTTTAGATTTCACATAGTGAGTGAGATCATATGGCATTTGTCTTTATGTGCCTGGATCCTTTTACTTAACATAATGCCCTTTGGGTTCATCCATGTTATTACAAATGGTGATATATGTGCCCTTTGTTATGACTAGTAAGACACAATGAAAAGTACCACATTTTCTTTATCCAGTCACTCATTGATAGGCAATTTTTTTTTCCATTTCTTATCTACTGTGAATAATGCTTCAATAAACATGGGAAGGCAGATGTCTCTTTGACATACTGGCTTCAGTATTTTTAGATATATACCCAGTAGTGGGATTCTTGGATCATGTGGTAGTTTTAGTTTTTATTTTTTTGGTGAACCTTCATACTGTTTTCCATAATGATTGTCCAAATTTACATGCCCACCAACAGTGTGCCAGGGTTTCTTTTGCTTCTCTTTTTGCCAAAACTTATCTTTTGTTTTTTAATAGTAGCAATTTTTACAGGTATGAGGTAATATTTTTTTTGTGGCTGCAATGTGCATTTCCCTGACAATTAGCGACACTGAGCAGTTTTTCATACACCTAATGGCCATTTGTAAATCTCCTTTTTAGAATTAACTATTCTATTCATGTCCTTTGCTCATTTTTAAGTGAATTATTTGTTTTCTTGCTATTGAGTTGTTTCAGTTCCTTGTCTATTTTGGATATTAACCACTGAATTAGTTCATTTTCCATTGCTGTAAAGGAATACCAGAGACTGGGTAATTTACAAAGAAAAGAGGTTTATTTGGTTCATAGTTTTGCAGGCTGTATAAAAAGCATGGCACCAGCATCTGCTCTGGCAAGGGGGTCAGGAAGCCTCCAATCATGTCAGAAGTTAAAGGGGGGAGGGGCCGGTGTGTCACATGGTGAGAGAAAGAGAGGAAGAGAGAGATGCTAGGCTCTTTTAAACAACCAGGTCTGCTATGAACTAACAGAAGAAAAACTTACTTATTACCATGAGGAGGGCAGCACCATGTCATTTCTTACGAATTTCCCCCCATGACCAATAAACATCCCAAGAGGCCCACCTCCGCCTCCAACACTGGGAATTGCATTTCAACATAAGATTTGGAAGGGACAAACATCGAAACAATGTCAGTTCTGTATCAGGTGTATAGTTGGCAAGTATTTTCTCTTATTCTGTAGGTTTTTCTCTTTATTCTGTTCATTGCTTCCTTTGCTTTGCAGAAGATTTTTAATTTGATGTAATCCCATTTGCCTATTTTTGTTGTTGTCTTTGCTTTTTAGGTCATATCCAAAAAAATTATTGCTCACACAAAAGTCATGGAAAATTTCCCCTATGTTTTCCTTTGGTGATTTTACAGTTAAAGGTCTTACATTTTAATCTTTAATTCATTTTGCATTGATTTTTGTATATGGAGTGATGTAAGGATCTAATTTTAATCTTCTACATGTGGATATTCAGTGGTCCCACACCATATATTGAAGATTTGTCCTTTTTTTTACCTTGTATTCTTGGAAAATTTGACAAAAATTAGTTGACTGTAAATGTATGGATCTAGCTCTGAGTTTTCTATTCTGTTCCATTGTTCTCTGAGACTGTTTTTATGCCAGTACCATGGTATTTTGGTAATTAGAGCTTGTAGTACATTTTGAAGTTAGGTAGTATAATGCCTCTACCTTTCTTCTTTATGCTTAAGGTTGCCCTGGCTATTTGGGATCTTTTGTGGTTCTAAACAAGTTTTAGGATTGTTTTTCTATTCCTATGAAGAATATCCCTGGTATTTTGATAAGGATTACATTGAATTTGTGGATTGCTTTTGGCAGTACGGACATTTTAGCAATATTAATCATTCCAATTCATGAAAACAGGATTTCTTACCTTTTATTTGTGTCTTCTTCAATTCCTTTTGTTGACGTTTTATAGATTTCAGTTTAAAGATCTTGTACCTCCTTGGTTAAATTTATTTTTAAGAATTCTAATTTTTGTAGTTATTATAAATGGGATAGTTTTCTTGATTTCTTTTTCAGACTGTTCATTGTTAGTGTATGGAAATGCTAATGATTTTTGTGCATTGATTTTGTGTACTGGATTTTTATTGAATGTGTTTAGTAGTTCTAACAGTTTTTTGGTGAAAATGTTGGAGTTTTTTTTTTTTTTCTTTTTTTTGAGATGGAGTCTCGCTCTGTTGCCCAGGGTGGAGTGCAGTGGTGTGATCTCGGCTCACTGCAACCTCTGCCTCCCAGGTTCAAGCCATTCTCCTGCCTCAGCTTCCCGAGTAGCTGGGATTACAGGCACCTGCCACCACACCTGGCTAATTTTTATATTTTTAGTAGAGACGGGGTTTCACTATGCTGGCCAGGCTGGTCTCGAACTCCTGATCTCAGGCAATCTGCTCCCCTCGGCCTCCCAAAGTGCTGGGATTACAGACGTGAGCCACCACACCCGGCCTGGAGTTTTTTTTAATATAAGTTCATGTTGTTTGCAAGCAGGGACAATTTAACTTCTTCCTTTCCAATTTGGATGCCTTTATTTATGTCTCTTGCCTAATTTCTCTGGCTAGGACTTCCAGGATTATGTTAAAGAGAAGTGATTAGAGTGGACATCTGTTACTTGTTCCAGATCTTAAAGAAAAAAGCTTTCAAATGTTTCTCATTGAGTATGATATTAGCTATGTGTTTGTCATATATATGGCTTTTATCATGTTGAGGTACAATCTTTCTATACCTAATTTGTTAAGAGCTTTTATCATGAAAAGTTGTTGAATATTGCCAAATACGTTTTATTTCTATTGGAATGATATTATTTTTTCCTTCATCCTGTTAATGTGATTTATTACATTTATTGATTTGCATATGTGAACCAGCCTTGAATCTCTGGGAAGAATCCCACTTAACCATATGGTGAATGATCTTTTTAATGTGCCATTAAATTTGATTTGTATTTTGTTGAGGCCTTTTGCATCTATGTCCATTGGTGATATTGGCATCCAATTTTATTTCTTTGTAGTGTCCTTTTCTGGCTTGGAATATCAGGGTTAATGCTGGCCTTGTAAAATGAGTTTGGAAGTTTTCTTTCTTCTCAGATTTTTCAGAGTTGTTTGAGAAGAATTGTTTTTAGTTATTCCTTAAATCTTTGGTAGAATTCAAAACTTTCATTGCCTTGGAAGGCAACAGACAATGAGCTTATAACCTACAGACATGCACACAGAAACACATGCACAGTTTGTTGGTAAAAATACTTAGATAGAGAAAACATAAACTAGGGAATAATGTCAGGTATGCATATATGTTTTTCTGTGTGTATGTTTGGCTTGTGTGCTTTATTGTGTATGTGCATATTATTTTATGCATCCTGGTCCGTCCTAGTGACATTTTCATGGGGACTTGTGGTAAGTGAAGCAGATAAATATGGAGGTAGTTGGAAGACGAGCATTAAAAATAGAAGTGGCCAGGCGCAGTAGCTCATGCCTTTAATCCCAGCACTTTGGGAGGCTGAGGCAGGCAGATTACCAGATCAGGAGCTCAAAACCAGCCTGGCCAACATTGTGAAACCCCTTCTCTAATAAAAATACAAAACTTATCCAGGCATGGTGGTGGGCGCCTGTAGTCCCAGCTACTTGGGAGGCTGAGGCAGGAGAATCGCTTGAACACAGGAGGCGGAGGTTGCAGTGAGCCGAGATCACGTCACTGCACTTCAGCCTGGGCAACAGAGCAAGACTCCGTCTCAAAAAAAAAAAAAAAAAAAAAAAACAGAAGAGTATGTGCAAACGCCTCAAGTGCTTTGGCATGCTGGCGGTTATAGACATAAAGAAGGATGCTAGAGTAAGCAGAGGGCAGAAGGAGTAAAAGGCAATTCAGAGACTGTGAGGAGGTTATGTCCTTTAAATTGATGTTGCATGGAAAGCTACTGGAAGATTTTGCAGTGAGGAAGGAATATGACCTGATCTACATTTTTAAAAAGTTATTATAATTTCACCTCAATGATAAGAGTAGCTTAGCTTGGGATGCCTCCATTGAAAACAGTAAAAGTTGTTAAAATTTGGGTATATTGTCGTCCTTACTACTATTGTTTTCCATACAATGTTAACTGTTCAGTTTACATTGTTTTTGCCATAATATCTTATTAAAAAGTATGGCACTCTTTAGGTAGCAACATCAGGGGAAGGGGGCATTTCATAATGACTTTTGTCATAAAAAGATACAAAAAACACACATCTTGGTTTATATTAAAAATAAAGCATATTATATACCTTTACACTAATAGAAGAGAACATCTACTCTAATGGCTCAGATATAGCCTTACAATATCAATAAACTTTCCTTCGGTTCAGAAAAAGAACTTTTCAGTGAATAACACTGACATATTTTTATCATACTTAACAGTTGAGAAAGTGTATTACATGCATCTTATTTAAATGTTACAATGTTGCAAGGGAGATAGGCTAAATATTATTATCAGCATGCTGCTAATGGGGAACCTGACAGCAAGACACATTATTTATAGGCCATTATTTGCTAAGCATAGCCCCAAGTAATATTTAATGTTATGATTAAAAAACCCAACATGGTTCCTCCCTTCCAGTGAGATCATCACAAATACCATCAAGAGATGGATAAATGCACCTCGGGAGTATGAGGTAACTCAAAAAGACTTCTTAAAGAATTAGTTGCAGAGTAAATTGATTTAGTTAAAGAATCAGTTACATAGTAAATTGATTTAGGCTGAAGTGAGATAGATACAAATCGAGAGATGAAAAGGGATTCCAGAAACAGCAATAAAAAGGAAAAGTCTGAAGTGTGGAATGGCAGAGTGTGTCCCATGAATGAAGAGGTTGGTATAATGACCATACAAATGTGATAGAGCTAAAGATAATCAATTGTAACATAATGCTGACAATCTTTTTTAAATGTATGCAGGATAGCTGGTGGTTTTTGAAAACTGGAATAACAAGGTCAAATTTATAATTTAGGAAGATAATTCTGGTAAGATATAAATTCGATTAGAATAGCAAAATAATCGAAATCTTGAAATAAACAGAAGATTTCCAATAGTCCAGTCAAGACATATGAGGACCCGAATACAAACATTAGTCCAAACATTAGTCCTGGCAGTTCAAAGGTGGTGAATAATACTAAAAGGCATTACATAAGCAGAAGGATACAATTTCTTAAATTATTGTTGGAAGTGGATAAAACAGAATAAATTGTGATTAGATTGGGATTGAGTAAGAGCTGTAAAAGAGAAAGTCAGCTATGTAATTAGAAGAGAAAGGGTTTTGTAGTATGAGAACATTTGCTTTTACTTTCATTAAATGAAAAAGCCATAGGGGTCTTGATTACGAAGCAAACATGATTAGCTTATGGTTTAAATCACTTTGGATAGCTATTATGTTGAGAATGGACCATGAAAGAAAATAATAGAAGCAGGGAGAGATATGTATTGTGGTAATTCATCTGTGGCAAGATAGTAGCTAAAACTAGGATGGTTCTTGTGTAGAGGGTATGAAGTGGCTAGATTCAAGACATATTTTATATGTAGGGGCACTATTTTATTAAATATTTGGCAGAGGATTGGAGTTAAAGGGAAGATTTGAAGATGACTCCAAGGGCCTTGGTGAGCAACTTGGAACATAGAGTTACCAAAAAAATAATGGGGAAAAAATTGAATGTGGAACAGTTTGGGGCATTTAAAATTTAAGCTGTTAGATATTTAAGTGGAGATCTCCAGTAGATATTTACGTATACGATATGAAGTAAGGGGAAATTTTTAAAATAGAAAGATAAATTTGGCACATAGACAATTTTAAAGTCATGAGATAGAATGAGATCATAAGAACAGTCAGAATAAATTGTGAAAGACATCATAGACATCCAAACATTGCAGATGAAACATCCAAGGGGATCAAAGACAAGCAGCTAATGAGGTCGGAGAAAAGAAAGTATAGTATCTTGGAAGGCAAGTAAATGAAGTGGTGTAAGCAAATATTAACTGTGTCAAAGAGAGGTCAACTATCAAGTAACATAAAGAATAAGTAATTATCGTTGAATTTAGCAACAGGGCAGTTATTACTGACCATAATGAAAACAAGATCAGTAGATTGCTGGAGGTAAAGGCAAATAATAGAGCTTTGCGTAATAGAACATTGGAGGGAAACTGGTAGAAGAAGAAGACGGTTTGTGGAATTCAGCAGTGAAGAGTATCATAGAAGTGGGTCATGATCAAAGAAGTGGGCATTACTTGGCATTAAGAGAAGTTTTGTTTTCCAAAAGTTGTTTTTCCTTCTAAAAGTAGAAGCTGTACAAAATCATGGATAGGCTTCATGAGCAGAGTTAGGGAATGTCTCTACTTACTTCGCAAAATTGAAAAGCTCAGGAATTATTGGATACATTTCTCAAATTTCTGATTTGTACTGAGCACTGATGTGGCTGAAGCACAGAAGGACAGCTCCTACCAAAGGTGCCTGCAGAAACTTCATTAGCCATCTGTCAAAATCTCCATGCCTGCCCCCAATTCCTCAGAAACGGTAATGAGTTCTACTTCTGTCCTACCTTCTTAATTGTATAGAAGCATCCTTGTCACACACTAAATAAAAATTTTCCCTGAAAAGGTTCTGTGAATCATATTGTCAAGACATACAACTCTTATGATATAATAGAGAACATCTAAATGAAAAATAGTGCAGACACTGATTCCTTGAAAGTTAGCCCATGCAAGGTAATAGTAGAAACTCTCACACTTTTTGTACTAAGTTGTAATTTGTGTTTTGGGATTTTTAAAAATAAGAATAGTTCCCAATCTTTACTATAGGGGTAAGTAACAAAATGAATAAAGCTTCAATAAAGAAACAGTTCAAACTATTAGGAAAGTACAATATAGTGTTGATGTTTTATTATTACAAATATATTTTATGATTGATAGGTTCTTAAATGTACACTGATATTTGTAGACTCTCATAATGCCTTGTAAAGATACTGTAGGGTTCTTGTGTGTTTCTATTTCGCTATTTTCACATCATAATTTCTCAATTATGTCTTCTATAATTTGAGAAATAAATTAGTTATATAACATTATATATAAATTCTGTGTTGGTTGGTTAATTGTTTTTGCATTGTCAGGAAAAGCATTATAAATGTCACCATCTAAAAATTATAAACATAGGCATGTTTATAAACATTTGTTTATGCATATTATGAAAATCTATTTCTGTTTATTGTAAACATAACATTTGTGTCATTTTCCAAAAAAATCTGAATATAGGCAATATGAAAATATTTTTATTAGAGATAGAAGGTATATTATTTTTTCTTATAATTTCTTATGTATTTTTTTCTCTCTCACAAATACTCTTCTACTAAGTTTTGCCAGTTTCTTTCTGAGACTGACCATTTTTCCCTGTCTCCATATATTTATTTTGTTTCTTCCCTGTCATAAATATATTTGTATTAAACAGTTAGAGTTTTCATTCTAGTTTGCTTATAGAAGAGTCTGACACCTTAGTTTTATTTTCCAGTGGGCGTTATATGGTTAAAACAAAGGTTTATATAAAGTTAAAAGGTGTAAGATTTGTTAGTTGACTAAAATGTTTTAAGTTCCTTACATTTTCTGGTAACTGGTTATAACATTAATTTATTTAGACTTAAATATTCAAAATTATATGTTATATTTTCCAAACCAATCATTGAAATAGGTGGAAATATATACATGTAAGAAATTAATAAACAAAAAATGGAATACAAATAATTCATTTTTTAGCTGCTTTGATATCTTTTCTCATTTCAGTTAATAAAATATTTTATTATTGTCAACTCCATAACTTTTATTTTCTCCTAAAACAAACAAACAAACAGTATACATGTGCAGAACGTTCAAGTTTGTTACATAGGCATACATGTGCCACGGAGGTTTGCTGCACCTATTGACCTGTCCTCTGAGTTCCCTCCCCTTACCCCTCACCCCACAACAGGCTCTGGTGTGTTATTCCCCTCTCTATGTACAAGTGTTCCCAATGTTCATCTCCCACTTATGAGTGAGAACATGTGGTGTTTGGTTTTCTGTTCCTATGTTAGTCTGATGAGGATAATGGCTTCCAGCTTCATCCATTTCCCTGCAAAGGACATGATCTCATTCTTTTTTATAACTTCGTGGTATTCCATGGTGTATGTGTACCACATTTTCTTTATCCAGTCTATCATTCATGGACATTTGGGTTGGTTTCAAGTCTTTGCTATTGTTAATAGTGCTGCAGTAAACATATGTGTGCATGTGTCTTTATAGTAGAATGATTTACATTTCTTTGGGTATATACCCAGTAATCGGATTGCTGGCTCAAATGGTGTTTCTGATTCTAGATCCTTGAGGAATTTCCATAATGTCTTCCACAATGGTTGAAATGATTTACATTCCCACCAACAGTGTAAAAACATTAGTATTTCTCCACAGCCTCGCCAGCATCTGTTGTTTCCTGACTTTTTAATAATCACCCTTCTGACTGGCATGAGATGATATCTCATTGTGGTTTTGATCTGCATTTCTCTGATGATCTGTGAGGTTGAGCTTTTTTTTTATGTTTGTTGGCTGTGTGAATATCTTCTTTTGAGACGTGTCTGTTCATATCCTTCGCCCACTTTTTGATGAGGTTGTTTTTTTCTTGTAAATATGTTTAAGTTCCTTGTAAATTCTGGCTATTAGACCTTTGTCAGATGAGCAGATTGCAAAAGTTTCCTCCCATTCTATAGGTTGCCTGTTCACTCTGATGATAGTTTCTTTTGCTGTGCAGAAGCTCTTTAGTTTAATTAGATCTCATTTGTCAAATTTGGGTTTTGTTGCAATTTGTTTCGGCATTTTTGTCATGAAGTGTTTGCCCATGTCTACATCCTGAATGGTGTTGCCTAGGTTTTCTTCTAGGGCTTTTATGGTTTTAGGTTTTACATTTAAGTCTTTAATTCATCTTGAGTTAATTTTTGTATAAGGTGGAAGGAAGGGGTCCAGTTTCAGTTTTCTGCATATAGCTAGCCAGTTTTCCAAGCACCATTTACTGAATAGGAGATCCTTTCTCCATGGCTTGTTTTTGTCAGGTTTGTCGAAGATCAGATGGTTGTAGATGTGTGGTGTTATTTCTGAGGTCTCTGTTCTGTTTCATTGGTCTATATGTCTGTTTTGGTACGAGGACCATGCTGTTTTGGTTACTGTAGCCTTGTAGTATAGTTTTAAGTCAGGTATCATGATGCCTCCAGCTTTGTTCTTTTTGCTTAGGATAGCCCTGACTATATGGGGTCTTCTTTGATTCCATATGACATTTAAAATAGTTTTTTCTAATTCTGTGAAGAATGTCTATGGTAGTTTGATGGGAAGAGCATTGAATCTATAAATTACTTTGGACAGTATTGCCATTTTCACAATGTTGATTCTTCCTTTCCATTAGGATGGAATGTTTTTCCATTTGTCTGTGTTCTCTCTTATTTTCTTGAGCAGTGGTTTCTAGTTCTCCTTGGAGAGGTCCTTCACATCCCTCGTTAGCTGTATTCCTAGATATTATCTTCTCTTTGTAGCAATTGTAAATGGAAGTTCATTTGTGATAATGCTCTCTGCTTGCCTATTGTTGGTGTAAAGGAATGCTTGTGATTTTTGCACATTGATTTTCTATCCTGATATTTTACTGCAGTTGCTTATCAGTTCAAATAGTTTTTGGGCTGAGATGATGGGGTTTTCTAAATATAAAATCATGTCGTCTGCAAACAGAGACAACTTGACTTCCTCTCTTCCTATTTGAATACCTTTCTTTCTCTTGTCTGATTGCCCTGGCCAGAACTTCCAATACTATGTTGAATAGGAGTGGTGAGAGAGGGCATCCTTGTACCGGTTTGCTTCCAGCTTTTGCCCATTCAATATGATATTGGCAGTGGGTTTTTCATAAATAGCTCTTATTATTTTGAAATATGTTCCATCAATACCTAGTTTAGTTTTTGAGAATTTTTAACATGAAGGTATGTTAAATTTTATCAAAGGCCTTTTCTGCATCTATTGAGATAATCATGTAGTTTTTGTCTTTGGTTCTACTTATGTGATGGATTACATTTATTGATTTGCATGTGTTGAACCAGCCTTGCATCCAATGGATGAAGCCAACTTGATCGTGGTGGATAAGCTTTTTGATGTGCTGCTGGATTTGGTTTGCCAGTAATTTACTGAGAATTTTCACATCCATGTTCATCCAGGATATTGGCCTGAATTTTTCTTTTTTTGTTCTGTCTCTTCCTGGTTTTGGTATCAGGATGATGCTGGCTTCATAAAACGAGTTAGGGAGGAATCCCTCCTTTCAAATGTTTGAAATAGTTTAAAAAGGAATGTTACCAGCTCCTCCTCATATTTCTTGTAGAATTCAGCTGTGAATCTTTCTGGTCCTGGGCTTTTTGTGGTTGGCAGGCTATTAATTATTGCCCCAATTTCAGAACTTGTTATTGTCTATTCAGGGATTCGACTTCTTCCTGGTTTAGTCCTGGGAGGGTGTATGTGCCCAGGAATGTGTCCATTTCTTCTCGATTTTCTAGTTTATTTGTGTAGAGGTGTTTATATCATTCTCTGATTGTAGTTTGTATTTCTCTGGCATCAGTGGTGATATCCCCTTTATAATTTCTTATTGTGTCTATTTGATTCTTCTTTCTCTTCTTATTAGCCTAGCTATTAGTCTATATGCTTTGTTAATTTTTTCAAAAAACTAGCTCCTGAATTTATTGATTTTTTTGGAGGTCTTTTCATGTCTCTACCTCCTTCAATTCTTCTCTGATCTTGGTTAGTTTTTCATCTTCCATGCTAGCTTTTGGATTAGTTTTCTCTTGCCTTTCCAGCTCTTTCACTTGTGATACTAGGGTGTCAATTTGATATCTTTCTAGCTTTCTGATGTGGGCATTTAGTGCTATAAATTTCCCTCTTAACACTCTTTTTGCTGTGTCCCAGAGATTCTGGTACATTGTCTGTTTCTTCTCATTGGCTTCAGAGAACTTCTTGATTCCTGCCTTAATTTCCTTATTTCCTCAGGAGCCGTTCTGGAGCAGGTTGCTCAATTTCCATGTAATTGTGTGGTTTTTTAGTGGGTTTTTAAATCTTGAGTTCTAATTTGATTGCACTGTGGTCTGAGAGACTGTTTGTTATGATTTCAGTTCTTTTGCATTTGCAGAGGAGTGTTTTACTTCCAATTATGTGGTCGATTTTACAATAAGTGGAATGTGGCATGGAGAAGAATGTATGTTCTGTTGATTTGGGGTAGAGGGTTCTGTAGGTGTCTACTAGATCCACTTGATCCAGTGCTGAGTTCATGTCCTGCATATTGCTTCTGTCTCAGTGATCTGTCTAATACTGACAGTGGGGTGCTAAACTCTCCCACTATTATTGTGTGGAAGTCTAAGTCTCTTTGTAGATCTCTAAGAACTTGTTGTATGAATCTGTGTGCACCTGTACTGGGTACATATATATTTAGAATAGCTAGCACTTCTTGTTGAATTTTTCCCTTTACCATTATGTAATGCCCTTCTTTGTCTTTTTTTTGATCTTTGTTGGTTTAAAGTCTATTTTGTCAGAGACTAGGATTGCAACCCCTTCTTCCTTTATGCTTTCTACTTGTTTGGTAAATTTTCCTTCATCCCTTTTTTTTTGAGACTGTGTGTATCTTTGCATGTAAGATGGGTCTACTGAATACAGCACACCGATGGGCCTTGACTCCTTATCCAACTTGCCAGTCTGTGTCTTTTAATTGGGACATTTTGCCCACCTACATCCAAGATTAGTATTGTTATTTGTAAATTTGATCCTGTCATCATGAAGCTATTTGGTTATTTTGCACCGTAGTTGATGCAGTTTCTTCATGGTGTCATTGGTGTTTATATTTTTGTGTGTTTTTGCAGTGGCCGGTACTGGTTTTTCCTTTCCGTATTTAGTGCTTCTTTCAGGAGCTCTTGCAGGGCAGGCCTGGTGGTAAAAAAAAAATCCCTCAGCATTTGCTTGTCTAGAAAGGATTTTATTTCTCCTTTGCTTATGAGGCTTAGTTTTGCTTGTTATGAAATTCTGGGTTGAAAATTCTTTTCTTTAAGAATGTCGAATATTGGACCCCAATCTATTCTGGCTTGTAGAGTTTCTGCTGAGAGGTTTGCTGTTAGTCTGATGGGCTTCCCTTTGTAGGTGACCTGGCCTTTCTCTTTGGTGGCCCTTAACAGTTTTTCCTTCATTTTGATCCTGGAGAATCTGTTGATTATGTGTCTTGGGGTTGATCTTCTTCTTATGGAGTATCTTAGTGGTATTCTCTGTGTTTCCTGAATTTGCATGTTGGCCTGTCTTGCTAGGTTGGGGAAGTTCTTCTGGAAAATACCCTAAAGTGTGTTTTCCAGCTTGTTTCCATTCTCTCAATCTCCTTCTGGCACTCCAATCAATTGTAGCTTTGGTCTTTTTATGAAATCCCATATTTCTTGGGGGCTTTGTTCATTCCTTTTCATTCTTTTTTCTCTATTCTTGTCTGCATGTCTTATTTCAGCAAGGTGGTCTTCAAACTGATATCCCTTCTTCTGCCTGGTCTATTTGGCTATTGATCCTTGTGTATGCCTCATGAAGTTCTTGTGCTGTGTTTTTCAGCTCCATCAGGTTATGTTCCTCTCTAAACTGATTATTCTAGTTAGCAATTCCTCTAACCTTTTATCAAGGTTCTTAGCTTCTTTGCATTGGGTTAGAACATACTCCTTTAGCTCAGCGTAGTTTTTTTATCACCTATCTTCTGAAGCCTATTTCTGTCAATCTGTCCATCTGAACCGGCATCCAGTTTTGCACCCTTAATATAGAGATGTTGCAATCATTTTGAGGAGAAGAGGCACTTTGGCCTTTTGAGTTTTCAGCATTTTTTCATTGATTCTTTCTCATCTGCATGAGTTTGTCTAGCTTCAGTCTTTGAAGCTGCTGACCCTTGAATGGGGTTTTTATGGAGGCTTTTTGTTGTTGATGGTGCTGTTGCTGTTGCTTTCTGCTTATTTGTTTTTTGTTTTTTGTTTTTTTTCTTTCAATAGTCAGGTCTGTCTTCTGTAGGGCTCCTGCAGTTTGCTAGGGGTTCACTTCAGGCCCTATTCATCTGATTCACTCCTGTGCTTGGAGATGTCACTCGAGGAGGCTGGAGAACAGCAAAGATGAGTGCCTGCTCCTTCTCCTGGGACCTGTGACCTTGAGGGTCACCAACTTGATACCAGTTCTCTCCTGTATAGGGTGTCTGAAAACCCCTTTTGGAAGTTCTCACCCAGTTGGGAGGCACAAGGAGCAGGACCCGTTTAACAGAGCACTTTGTCCCTTGGTGGAGCTGATGTGCTTCCCTGGGGGGAATCCCACTCATCTGAGCTGTCTGGATTCCTCAGAACTACCAGGAGGAGAGGTTAAGTCTATTGGTCCACAGACTGTGGCCACCCCGCCACCTAGGGGCTCAGGCCCAGGGAGAACTGGATTATGTCCCTGAACCTCTGGCTGGAGTTGTTGGAGTACCTGAAGGGAAGTCCTGCCCAATAAGGAGGGATTGGTCAGGCTTAGGCCTGAAGAGTTACTCTGGCCACAGACTGCCACAGTTGGTGTGTTGGGCTGTGGGGACAAGTCTTGGGACCAAGACGTCCAGCTTCCCTGGCTCCAGCAGAGAAAAACGCAGGCTGGAGCTATAGAGATGGGTGCCGTCCTTACCTCGCCCAGGGAGCTTAGCATATTAGGCAGTTGCCAGTCCCAGTGCTGGCTGCTGCCCCTACCCAAGGAGCTCAAACAGCTTAGCAGGCAGCTGCAGCCAGTCCTGGTTACCACTCCCTGGGGGAGTTCAGTAGGCTTAATCTGATTCCAGCTGAGAGGCTGTAAGAATTTGAACATTCCAGGGTTGGGATTCTAGGCCCCAGTGCCTTGGGTTCACAAGTAGGATCTTCTGATCCGTGGGTTGCATAGTTCTGTGGAAAAAGCAGCTTCCCTGGCTGGGTAGTATGCTCACTCACTGCCTCCCTTGCCTGGGGAGAGGGGGTTCCCCTGCCGCTTGTGGCTCTCAGGTGGGCTGCTGTACCACACTGTTCTTTTTTCTCTCCATGGGTCATGCCAGTTTTCTAGTCAATTTTGATGAGAGAATCTGGATACCTCAGTTGCTGGTGAAGGATTCACACACTTATTATGGTTTTTTTCAATGGGAGCCTCCGAATGCCACTGATTCTAGTCGGCCATCTTGGCCCTGCCCCACTTTGATATCTTGAAGACATGATAAGTAAGTAAAGAAAGACAAAATAAATTACCACCAGTATACCTACACTACAATATATTTTACAGTAAAATTTTGAGGCTGAAAGGAGATTACACCAGTTCACAAATCAATCTATATGACTGAATAAAAAACACAGGCTATTGTGCACTGTAGCTACATATAACGGGCTATGTACATACTTTTGTTTTATACATTTCTTTAAAACTTTTAGGCTTATTTGAAATAAAATTGGAAATTTATAGTGCATGTAAAAATATGTGATAAAGTAGTACTATAGAGAGGAAAAAGGAAATGCATGCTTGCAAGTTTTCTATATATTACATAAACTAATTAAATACTAATTCTAAGTGGATTGTAATAAATTATCAATGTATTCTGTAATCTCCAGGATAACCACTAAAGCAGATATAACATTATATAGTTATACATTCTAATAAATAAAGTAAAATTGAATATGAATATGAAAATATTATTAGCAGTAATAAATGTAGGCAGTAAAGGAGAAGCTGAGGAACCAAGACTAGATATCAATAAATATTTAAATTAAATAGATTAACCCCTGTCTCAAAGGGCAGAAATTGTTAGACCCTCTAAGAAAATGAAGACCCAACTCTATCATGCTTATAAGAAATATTCTTAAAATATGATGACACGATAGATAGAAATAATAGGTTGTGAAAGGTAAACCATGCAACAGGGAACATAAGCAAGCAAAGTTGGCTATAATACTATCAGACAAAAAATAAACAAGCAAACAAAAATGGACATTTAAAATAAAGAGAAACACTTGATAGTAATAAGCAGCCAATATATTAGGAAGATATAACATTTGTATGTGGTTGTGTCCACTAGCAGAGATTTAAAATATATGAGCAAAAATTGACAGCATTACAAAGGAGATATAAAGTCTAAATTAGAGTTAGTAGCATTAATGTTTCCATCTCAATAACTGTTGTCAACAGCAACTTAACAAAAATTTCAGTGGGAATATGGAAAATCTGAATGATACTATCAATCACATTATTTAATTGACATTTTTTGTAATGCCTCATCCAACAACTGGAGACTTCACAAGTTTACATTTGTTTCCTATACACATGGCACTACCACTAATATGCAATACATGCCAGTCATGAAACATGTTTCAATAGATTAAAGACCATTTAACGCTGTAGAAAACTCTGACCACAACAATTAATCTCAAAGTAAACAAAAATAACACATGCAGAGAATGACCTACATATATTATAAATAATAGGTTTTTTAAAATCAGCAAAAAATTAATTGAACAAATCATAAAGAAAACAACTCATATCAACTTGTGAAAGGCTATTCAAATAATGATTAGATGAAAATTTATAGCCTTAAATTTATAATTTGTTATAATAAAAGTTTAAATTTATTATTTGTTATAATAGGATAAAAGTTTAAAAATCAGTAACCTATTTCTGAAGAAAAGGAAGCCAGAAAATAAAGAACAAATCGATCACAAAAAGAAATGTAGATATTGATAAATGAAACAGATACAGAATAGAAAAAAAAAATCAGTAAAACAAAATCTGTGTTTTGAAAAAAGGGGAAAAAGAATAAATAATAGTTATTTTTTAAAAGATACATTTGTTAATAATACCAAGAGTGAAAGAAGAGATTTACCTACAAATCTGATAAGAAATGGGTCATAATGTTGAAAGACAAAGCAAATGAAAAATCTCCATTTGCAGCAACGTGACAAAAAGAAATACATTTATTAATTTAATTAAAAATGTGCAGAAACAACATCAAAATGTATGAAATTTTATTATGGATATTTAAGGACCAAAGTAAATGAAGAGGTAGAGGTTAGAGAATTTGCAATTCAAGATTTCAATACTTACTATAAAGCAATGTTATAGCTAAGACAGTATTGGCCTAAGTGTAGACTTAAAAGTCAATGATCACAATAACACATCTAAAATACACCTACACTTGCATGGTCATGTGATGTTAAACAAAAATGTCAAGGTAAATACATGGAGATAAATCATCTCTTCCATAAATGATTCTAGACAAACTGGCTATCCATACAAAAAATAAATCATCTTTACTTCACACAATATACAAAATTGAACTCAAAATGGAACATAGACCTGAATATAAGAACTAAAATTACAAAACTGCTGGAAAAAAAATAACAAAGGCTTTGGAATATTGAATTATTCTGTGATATCTGAAACACAAAACGGCACAAAAAATTGTATATGATAAAAATATACAAAAGAAGTTACATAGATGTAAATTGAATGCATACAAAGATGAGCAATAATATTGTTCACCAGGTAATTGCAAGCTATAATCACAAAGAGGAAAAAGTTATACACACACCATGGAGGTTACAATAAAAAATAAAGTATATTAATATTAAGTCTTTGTAAGACTGTAACACAATTTAGATTGTCATAGATGGAAAAGGGTGAGAATGCAAAATGGCACATCCACTTTGGAAAACAGTTTGCAAATGTATTATAAAGGTAGGCATGTATTTACCAAATTATGAATCCACACATAAATACTTTCCCAAAAGAAATAAAACATGTTTATACAGACACATACACACACACACAAATGTATGCAAATGTTTATACCAGCATTAGTCATACTAATGGGAAATAGACACATCACAATTGTTATAAATTATGAATTAGAAAAAAATCATGGTATGTCCATACATTGGAATACTCTTCAGCAATAAAGAGATTCAAATGAACATAAAATCAATGATTCTTAAAAGTGTTAAGTTTAGGAAAAAATGTCAAACTCAATATACTGTATTCTGTATGATTCCATTTATACAAATTTCAAGAAAATGCAAATCTTTTTCTGGCTATTTTTTTTTTGTTTAGTACAGACGGGATTTCACCATGTTGGCCAGGCTTGTCTCGAACTCCTGACCTTAAGTCTTCCCGCTGCCTTGGCCTCCGAAAATGCTAGAATTACAGGCATGAGCCACTGCACTGCACCTGGTCAAAAGCCCAAATCTTAATGACAGGAAATCACCAAAAAATTGGCAGCCCAGAGCTAGAACTTAGAGGAGTAGATTGATTACAAAGGGGTACAGGGAACTTTTCAAATGGATGGAAATTTTCCATGTCTGGATTATGCAGTAGATTAAATCATTGAATAAAATTCCCTAAGTCATCTAATTATACATTAAAATAGGTGAATTTAATTGCACATAAAACTGAGAGGAAACAACAATGAACAATATTATAAACCATTTTGTGGTAATTAACTTGAAAATCTAAGTGAAATGAAAAAATTGTGATAGAAACCTACCTCCTGAGTTAATTTTATTCTTAAGTTTTGAAAACATTTTTGTAGCTATTGTAAATGAAATTATTTTCTTAAATTCTTTTTAAGATAATTAACGTTAGTGTATAGAAACATATAGATTTTTGTGTGTAGATTTTGCATCTTACCAGTGGGGATATGGAAATTGAATTAATTTATAATTTATTAATTTATAAATTCTAGCAGTTTTCTTGAATCTATAGAGTTTTCTCCATATTGTCATTTGTGAGCTGAGAAAAATTTACTTATTTCTTTAAAATTTGGATGGCTTTTATTTCTTTCTCTTGACTAATTGTTTGGGCTAGGATTTCCAATGCTATTTGTAAAGGCTTTATTTTAAAAAATAAAATTGACTAGCTTCAATTATATGCAAATGAAAGTGTTCTTGAATATCCAACAGATTTTTTAAATATTAAAAAATACTAAACACAGAAGGACTTACTATTCCTGACTATCCTAAAACTATTGCAATCAAGTAGTGGGGTGATAGCATAATCACGGATATAGAGGTCAATAGGACAAAATAAAGAATTTAAAATGGACACAAATGATTTTTAGAAAAGACAATCAGATGGGGAAAGACCAATCTTTTAAAATATGAAAGTCAAAAAATAACAGATGCTGGCAAGGTTATGCAGAAAAGGGAACACTTATACATTGTTGGTGGGAGTGTAAATTAGTTCCACCATTGTGGAAAACAGTATGGTGACTCTTCAAAAAAAGCTAAAAGCAGAACTACCATTTGACCTAGCAATCTCATTACTGGGTATATACTCAGAGGAATATAAATCATTCTACTCTAAAGACACATGCATGTGAATGTTCATTGTAGAACTATTCACAATAGCAAATAGATGGAATCAACCTAAATACCCATTAATCACAGACTGGATAAAGAAAAATTTCCACACATACACAATGGAATACTATGCAGCAATGAAAAGAATGAGATCATGTCTTTTGCAGGAACATGGATGAAGCTGGAGGCTATTATCTTTATTATCTTTAGCAAACTAATGCAGAAACAGAAAACCAAATACCACATGTTCTCACCTGTAAGTGGAAGTTAAATGATAAGAACTTAAGAACCCACAAAGGAAAGAACAGACACTGGGGTCTACTTGAAAGTGGAGGATAGAAGGAGGCAGAGGCGCAAAAAAGATAACTATTGCGTACTTGGCTTAATACCTAGGTGATAAAATAATACGTACAACAAACAAACAAACTTGATGCATATTTACCTACGTAATAAATCTTCACATGTACCCTCAAATGTAAAATAAAGGTTTAAAAAAGAAAGTATGTAACAAAACAAAACAAGACCCATTAATTCTCATATTAGAAATTTTTAAAAACTCAAAAATGGTTTTGTATCTAACTGTAAGTGTTCCACTGTAAAATCTCCAGAAGAAAACATTTTAAAAATCCGTAACTTTGGAATAAGCAAATACTTTTTATATAAGAGAACAGAAGTTTGAGAGACAAAAGAAAAAATAACAAACCAGGTGTTTAAAACCTGTTTTGTAATCTGAGAAAGCCCAGTACGTTAATAAAAACGCAAACCACAAAGTAAGAGATAATTTTGTATATTATTTACCTACATATATGTATGCAAAAGTGCAAAACATTTTGATAAGGACTCCACCAGAAAAGGAATAAGAATGCCACATAATCACATGGAAAATTACTTACGGACATGAGTCAACACAGAAATCAGACTTAAAGCAACTAAGAGTTTTCACTGCATATCTATCAGAAGAAGTAAAATCAAATAGCCTAATATTACAAGGTATGGATAAGGTTTTGGAGAAATCAGAACCCCATAAGTTATTGGTGCATATCTTTTCCATACTGGTAGTTTTGGTATTTTATGGCATACCATTCTGTGAGATTGATAGTTGCTTATAAAGCTCTTACATTTATCCTATGACAAGTCAGAGGGATCTGAGTAAACCTACAGGTAATGAAAATTTCCACTACCTTGATTGTGGCCAGGATTCCAAATGTATGTATCAGCTAAAATATATCTAACTTAACATATTATATTTTTGTATTCATCTTACATAAATTATAATCAAGTTATTGAAAAATAAGTAAGGATTATAAAAGGTAAAAACTCAATTTTCCAATTAAAATAATTTTTACATTGAACAAAATAAGAAATCCTAAAATAATAACAGAAAACACATATACACAAAAACAAAAGACAAACTTTAGATTTTAAAAATAATAGGCGAAAATAAATATTATAAAATGAAATGACCAATCTAGCATATAAAATAAAGCAGGTGCAGCTATCTCAATATAAGAGAAAGTAGGGTGTTATCATATCTATTATAATCAGAAATTATTATTAGTAATAGAGGGATAATTTTAAAAAGATGATTATAGCAGGAAGAAATAGCAATTCTAAACAGATGAACATAAAATAGATTAATCACAAAATAATTTTTAAAATGTGTAAAACAAAAATTGACATAGAAAAAGAAATAGACAAATATATAATCAGATTTTAAAATATAAAAAAATATTAAAAATTTGATGCATACAAATTAGGAAACTTAATCCAAGTTATATTTGTAAAGGAATGCATAATAAACCTTTACCACAATTAACCATAAACTGAAACAAAATAAAATCAAAACAATTTTCACAGGCTGAAAATCATGCAAAGTATTTTCTTTTCACAGAGTTAAATTATAAGAAAATAAAAAATACATATACACTGGAAACTCTCCGTTTTAAAATAAATTAATAAATTTCGGAATAACCTGTGATTCAATAAAAATAAAAATCTCAAAATTATTTAAAATAAATTATAAGAATATCATATATTAAAACACGCATATAGTAAAACATTAACTCTGTACTTACAGTTAAATTTGTAGCTTAAATGGATATAATAGATAGGAAAACAGATTGAAATATTCCAAATTTCCATTTTAAAAAGTAATAAAATAATAGTAAACTCAAATAAACTACACAAAATAAAATGAACTAAGACAATAAACTAATGAAATCTAAAACACATATATGGCAAAAGCATTAACAAAGACAAAGGCTGTTTTTGGGAAAAGCTAGTAAAATTGATACATTGTAATATTTGTTCAAGAAAACAAGAAGTACAAACAGTTTCAGGAGTGAATAAAGGGGACATTGCTAAAAATTCTAAAAGTAAAATAGAAGAAGAAAATTCTGCAACTTGCTAAAACATGGATGAATTTTGAGTATATGATGGGAAGTGAAATAAGCCAGTTAGAGAAGGGCAAATACTGCATGATTTCCCTTCCATGAGGTATCTTTCTCATAGAAGGAGAATGCGGAATGGTGATTTCCAGGAGCGCAGTGGAGGAGGGAATGGAGTTGGTAATCAACAGGTATAGGATTGCAGCAATGCAGAATGCATAATTTCTAAAGATCTGCTGTACATCATGCCTACAGTTAACAGCATTGTATGCTTACAAAATCTATTATGAATGTATAAATCATGTTGTGTTCTTAACCACAATAAGATAAAAATAAATAAGAAGGTGTTACTAAGGAAACTATGCTGATATATTTTAAAATTTAGATTAAAAGGACAAACTATTTTTAAAAATGTAACCAAAACACTTACAACATAATGGAAAAATAATAATCCTAAATATGTGAAAGCAATTTAAGTATTTAAGTATAATTACTTCAAAGAGAGAACTCTAAACACAAATGTCTTCAGCAGTGAATCCACCAAAATATTTATAAAAATAATCATTATAATCCAGTTTTAGGGATACCTTTCCGGAAAATTAAAAATGCAGGGCAATTTCCTACCTTGCAGTACAACGAATCTACCTTAAAGCAAAGACCTGAAAAGATCAAATACATATATGTGTGTATGTGCATGTATTTATACCCATATGACATATGATATAATAAATATGATGTATGATATTGTTTCTAACTCCTTATACAGCACAAATTTCTTTCTGCTTTCCAGTTTAGCTCATTTCCTCTGCTTACTCAACAAAATAAGAGAAAATTACTGGATGGAGGATACTGTCACAGGATCCTTAGGGTATCACTTCACCCGCTGGAAACGCCTGCGGCCGGCAGCACTTCTGCTTGAGTTTTGCTCTTGCTCACTGGGCTTGTTCTGCCCACCTGGCTTGGCAGGCTGTGTCTGGCTCACTCTACCCGCCTGGATCCCACACCAGCCAAGAGTAAACGAGGAGTGGAGAATGAGGGGTGTGTGAGCTAGCAAGCGTGGGTTCCAGCCACTGCATACAGCCAGGCACACTGGCAGCTGCAGTGGGGTGGGCAGTTCCAGGTGCTGGCACAGGCGCTGGCACAGGCGCTGGCTCTGTGCAAGGCTGCGGCTGGACTAGATGTACTACAAGCAGCATCTGCCGTGGGCACCAGCATCCAGTTGAGGGGAACATGGTAGCACCCAAAAGCCTGGAGACACCAGGAAACACAGATTCCCAAAAAGGGAGTTAAAGCAGGTCACAGCCCTGGCTCAGGGTACCTCGAGATCTGGGCTCCCAGAAGGGTTGCAGTCTTCTCCCCTCGTTGCCCGCAGCACAGCAAGTTGTGGGGAAGGAGGGTCATGTTTCAGGGAGGTGAGTTTCAGCCGTTTGTGCTACCGCTCTTTCAGTCCTTCTGCCCAGCTCTGGCCCATGGCTCCTGGGCTGGCCGGGCCCACCACTGCTTTCTGTTGCATGGGGTGGCCACCTGGCCCCGGTGGAAGGCGAAAGGGCTATTGTGTTACAGCAGCTCTGGGTTGGGGAATTCCAAGGTCTGAGCCCGAGAAGGGTTGCTACTCTACAATCCCACAGTCTGGGAGTGTATCACCGCCTGTGTAACTGCCCGCAGCTCAGCGAGCCGTCCAAGAACATGTCACAGCTCCATTCGCTTTCACTGTTTGGTGGGTCCCGAGTTCTTGTCCCACATAGTGAAAGAATGAGGTTACGTGGACAACTGGAGAGTGAGCAAGGCAGAGAGGAGCTTTATTGAGTGACAGAACAGCTATCAGTGGAGAGGAGACCCGAAGTGGGTAGCTCCTATCCACAGGCAGGTCATCCTGATGAGTGTAAAGGAGACCTGAGGTAGGTAGTTCCTACCCGCAGGCAGGTAGTCCCAACAAGTGTCCAAGTCTGGCTGAGTCTGGGTTTTGAGGGCTCAGAATAGAGGAAGGGCATGCTGATTGGTCCATGGGTGGGCCGGGACAAATCACCATACCATTGTCTGAAGAGCATCAAGGAATTTCTCACTCCAGGTTGCAGACGCCACCCTGAAGTGCCAGCCAGGTCCCCAGGCTTCAGGCCAAGCTTGAAGGTGAAGCTTCACCACGGACCTGTCCTTTCCTGCCTAGGAACCTGTCAGCATCCTGCAGCCATCAATATGACGACCATAGCGTCCAGGCTGTCCGCGCTGAGGGGCCCCTGCAAGCCCACACTGAGCTGCCCACAGAGCCCCCTGCCTCCCTCCCTGAGCTCACTGGTGTACATAATTTCAGATGGGGCTGAGGAGGTGGGCGTTTGGGGGTCTGGAATTTCAGCGCCACCTCAAGCATGCGCACACCCAGCCGGGTCGCGACAGCGCCTGGGCTTGGCTACAACGTTGCTTCACACCTAAGTGGGAGTTGGGAGCAGGGAGTGGCCAGGGAGCGGGAGCAGGCACTTTTGAGCCTGTGGAGGCAGGAGGTTTCCCAGGCCCCCAAGAGCGCAGGGATGCCTGAGCCCAGAGTCACGACTGGGCGGGTGCAGCTGTTCCCAGGAGCACGGGCTCCCACCCTGCCAACTCGGTAGGGCACGTGGCTCCAGCTGGGATTGCCTCTTCCCATGCCACACCTGCTCCGCGGAGCACATAGCCCCGGCTGCATCTCTTCCGCTGCAACTGGCGTCCTCGCAGTGACCATTCCATACAGGGAGCCACCGCCATAAGTGGAGTTCCTTCAGAATCAAATATCAAATATGACATCAGCCCATCCAATTATCAAAAGTTTGGCTAGTTCTTGTGGTCTTAGCATTGTCCTTTCTTGTTTTTTTTGTTTTGTTTTGTTTTGTTTTTTGTTTTGTTTTTGTTTTTTCCTTTTTAAATTTTTGTTGAGCTTGCTCTTTTGCTAGCCCAGTTACAAACAGTCCCTGGCAGAGGCTGGTGAGGGGCAGAGTGGATGGGGGAAGGAAACCTTCCGTGAAAGGGACAATGGTTTGGTTAGATAGGGGGAATACCTTTTGATGATCTGTTGCACAGCATGGTGAGTACAGTTAATAATAATGTATTAACTATTTCAAAACAACCAAAAGAGATTTTAACAGTTTTTACCACAAAGAAATGATAAATTTTTGA